>NC_000010.11:54537034-54688549 GCF_000001405.40 Homo sapiens | reverse complement strand
AAGTGTATACTTTTCAGACAATACAGTATTTGCCTTAACATCTCTTAAACTTTGGATTCGGAAATTTATTGTTTATATTGTTTATTCTACTTCTGTGAGAATGGTTAAAATACATTAAGCATTCTATTCAGTATATAGTTAGCCAGAGTCAGATTGAACTGCTGTTTGTTAATGTCTGTGTTTTAACATAATAGCAATCCCATTTGTTTAGTATGATTAGCCCAAGTCTAAAGAAGTACAATTGAGGCTTAGAGAAAAAAAAATGACTTACCCAGCCTACCTAACTAATGGGATGGTTGAGGGTAGAACATAACTTTTATAACTTCAATTTTTACCACTCCCATTATTCTACTCTTTGCACATTAATTCTAATTTTTAAGATAATGCCTTCATTGGGCTGACAATTTTATTTTTTAATTTAATTGAGGACAGCTCTGTAATAAATTTATAATTAATAATTTTTAATGCTAGTGAAGACTTTTTTAAATTTTTTTAATTTTATTTTATTGTGGTTAGAATGCTTAACGTGAGACCTATCCTCTTAACCAATTTTTAAGTGTATAATCTTTGACTATAGACATAATGTTGTTTGGCAGATCTCTAGGGCTTTTTTACCTGGCTTGACTGAAACTTTCTGCCATACAACATTGTATTATATATTGCAGAATTTTCTTAAAGATGTTAAGGCAGATATTGTTCAAGGATGGGCATGGTAATAGGTATAGGGACCCCAGCAAAGTGGTCTTAAAGGAGCAGAGAGAGATTGGACTCAATTCTGACTTCCACCATGACAAGTGGAGACTTATACCAAAAAGCAGGGTGGGGTTCAGTGAATGGAAAATTACTAAGAGGAAACATACAGAAAAACGAGGTTTCTAGCTACATCAACTTGATGGAATTATTGCTGAATGGAGTCCAGTGTCATAAGATATTGAAGCTTTTTTCCTAAGCTGACTTAACAGGAATCTTGCTCAAACTGGATTCAACAAGGACAGAAAGAGAAGCCCAAGGTTAGACCTAGCCAAGCATAAGATTCAAAAGAGTCCAAATAAAGTTTTGGTCAAAGGAGAGAGTTTTAGTCAGTATATATTATATATGTAGCACATTTTTTTATTCATGTACTTGTTGATGGACATTTAGGTTGTTTCCACATCTTGGATATTGTAAATAGAGTCGCAATGAGCATAAGAGTACTAGTATATGATTGTATCTGAGAGTGTAATTTTGATTCTTTTGGATAAATGCCAAGAATTTTGATTACTGAATCATATGGTAGTTCCATTTTTAAATTTTTTTAGAAACCTCCGTAGTGATTTCTATAGTGGCTGCACCATTTTGCATTCCCACCAACAGTTTTCAAGAGTTCCACTTTCTCCACATTCTTACTAAAAACATACTGTCTTTGGGGTTTTATTGTTTTGATTTCTTTGTTTTTGTTTTGTAATAGCCATACTGACAGGTGTGAGGAGATATCTCTTGTTGACTTTGATTTGCATTCTTCTTATCATTAGGGACATTGAACATTTTTAAATATATCTATTGGCTATTTATAGTTCTTTTGGGGAAAATTGTCTTTCCAAGTCTTTAGCCCATTTTTAAAATCAAGTCACATGCTTTATTGAGTTACAGGAGTTTCAAAAATAAAGTATTTTGGAGATCAAACCTTTATCAAATATACATTTTGCAAATATTTTCTCCCATTCTGTTAAGGCAAAATGCCTCTTCACTCTGTTGTTTCCTTTGCTGTACAGAGCCTTTTTAGTTTGATATAGTACCACTTGTACAACAGACATATAGAATACTGGAATATGATACAGAACTCAGAAATAAATCTATGTATATATAGTCAACTGATCTTCACTAAGGGTGCCAAAAAGTCACAATGACCTAATCAACACATGGTGGTGGAAAAATAGATAAGAATATAAAAAAGAATGGTATTGGACACAATTTTACACCATACACACAAAAAATTCAAAATAGGTTATTGACGTAAATGTAAGACTCAAATCATTAAAGTGCAAAAAGAAATATGAGGGAAAAGCTTCATGATGTTCGTCTCAGCAATGATTTTATGGATATGACACCAAAAGCACAGGAAACCAAAACAAAAATAATGAGGACTTCTTTTTGCTAAAAAATCTCAATAACTCTGTAAAGCATTCCTTATTTAATGCTTTCTTTAAAAAGGATCTAAAGCAAAACATAGTGCATCAAAATTTGCACCCATCATAAAATTTCAACTATTAAATGGCCTTTGAACTTTTCTTTTCTAGAAAATAATCTATATTTATATAATAGTTTGGTTATTAGCTGATGATTTTAATTTTCTAGACATTTTTAGCTCTGGGTTATAATTAAAATTGGCTATCTTGGCCGAGTGCGGTGGCTCACACCTGTAATCCCAGCACTTGGGGAGGCTGATCACGAGGTCAGGAGTACAAGACTAGCCTGACCAACATGGTGAAACTCCGTCTCTACTAAAAATACAAAAAAAAAAAAAAAAAATTGGCTGTCTTGCTCCCTTGGATTTGGATTTCCATGCAAAAATTAGAAAAGTAGAGGCAGTGATGATTTAAAATACATAAACACACACACACATATTTTATATACAGAGAGTCGCCAACTTACAGTGGTTCAATTTACAATTTTTTGGATTTATGATGGTGCCAAGTGATATGCATTCAGTGGAAACTTTACTTCAGTGCAGTTCAATCAGTCACATACTATATTCAACACTATTATAAAAATTAACTTTGTATTAGATGATTTTGCCCAACTGTAAGCTAATGCAAGTGTTCTGAGCATGGTTAAGGTAGGCTAAGCTAAGCTATGATGTTCAGTAGACAGAGTTTATTAAATGCATTTTAACTTACAATATTTTTGACTTCAATGATTTTAACAGGATGTATCCTCATTGTAATTTGATGAGCATCTGTACATTTGTATGGTCATGCTCTGCATAATGGCATTTTGGTCAACAATGTACAACATATACAATGGTGGTCCCATAAGGCTATAACATAGCTGAAAAATTTCTATTTCTATTTCCTGGTGATATAGCCCTTGTAACATCATCTCAGAAAGCATTACTCACACGTTTGTGGTGATTCTGGTATAAACAAACCTACTGTGCTGCCAGTGATAAAAATAATAGCACATACACTTAGTATATAGTACTTGAAAACGATAGCAAATGATTATATTACTAATTTATGTATTTACAATACTGTAAGTTTTATTGTTATTTTAGAGTGTACTTCATCTCCTTATAAAAAAATTAACTGTAAACCACCCTCAGACAGGTTCTTCAAGAGATATTCCAGAAGAAGGCATTATTATCATAGGAGATGACAGCTCCGTGCATGTTATTGCCTCTCAGAGTCTTGTACTGGGACAAGATATGGAGGAGGAAGACAGGGATATTGATTATCTTGACCCGGTGTAGGCCTAGGCTAATGTGTATTTTTGGGTCTAGGTTTAAAAAATGCTTTAAAAGTAAAAATTAAATTAATAATTTTTAAAATAGAAAAAGGTTATAGAATAAAAATATAAAGAAAGAAACTATGTTGTATGGCTATACCATGTGTTCAAGAGTCAAAAAGCTAAAAAAGTTAAAAATTAAAAATTTTATTAAAAACAACAGTAAGCTAAAGTTAGTTTACTATTTAAAAAATGCATTTTATAAATTTAGTGTAGCCTAAGTTTTCAGACATTCTATTCTAATACACACTACTATAGGAAATAACACTATCAAATGATTTGACCTGGAGTAACGCTGGAAATGATTGTTGCTGTTAGATTTTCTGTAAAAAGGTCAAACTTTGAAAATCTGATTTAAATATACACATGGTATTGATCTAAATTATTTCCTCCCTTCTTAAATATTTTCTAGCTTAACAAATGAAATTTAAAACATTTTTTCCAGTGTTATTTTAATTAAATAATTAGCTTTTGTAATAGCTTCAACTTGTGTCAAGAGAAAAAAACACAGAATTATTTTTTACTTCAAGAACATCTCATATATGCATTTACATAAAGAGGCCATAAATACATATTCATATACATTTGACTAAATGCCACATATGCTTTAACATTTTCTTTTAAGAAAATGTAACACTTTGAAGATTCAGTGTAAACATCCAAATAGTAAACTAAATGATTTCCTTAGCTCCTTGACATATCCTAGAGTATCTATTTTAGTTTATAAATATGATTTTAAAAAATTAGGTACATAGCAAATATTCTATACCTACAATACATTTTTTCTTTAACCTATTGTATCCTTTATTGCTGTACATTCTAATTGTTTACAACCTCTTCGTATTACAAATCATACTTCAGTAAATATCCTTATATGAAGGTATTTGAAGACGTGTTTGAGTATATCTGAAGGACAATTTTTAAATATATAATTGTTATATACAATAACACATGCATTTTAATATGTGAAAAATATCGCTATTTTATTATTATCTGCCATTGTGAGTCTCATCTTAGGTATAATTTCCCTAAGCAATCTGAATTCCCTTTCAGATATAAATGATAATCTTCTTAGTATCTCAAAAAGCCTATATTTTTTTCTTTATGATATGGAAAAGTTTCTGTCTTGTGCTATGCTATAATCAACACCCTTTCTAGATGATTTTCAAACTATCATTTTAACATTTTGCAAAGGAAAAACTGAGGGTTTGAAAAGTTCAGAAAACTGCCCAAAATATTGTAGCATGTAAGAGGCAGAGTCAGGATTGCAACTCAGGTTAGTCAGACACTTGATCGCAAGCTTTAATCACTGCAAGCATAATGTACTTCAAAGTTCTGTGAAATGTTAATGGACATGGGTTTGAAGATTCCACTTCTAGTCTTGCCTCTAATGTTTGACTTTGAGAGGGCTACCTAACCTCTCATGCTCAGCTTCTGTCCAATTTATAAAGAAATGAAATCAATTAGTTCAGAATTTTGATCCAGAATTTAAAATAAAACATGTATTTAAGGTTCCTAGTAAAATGTCTAAAATGGTGATGCTCAATAATTGTAGTTCCATCTGAAACGTGATAAAATAATTCAATTTTGAATCCCCTCAAATGCTTGTCCATTGAAAGCACAAATTTCATATCATTTCACAAATATACCATACCCAGAATAGTCAAATTAATAGAGAAATAACATAGAATAATGGTTACCAGGGGCGGGGAGCAGGGCTTAATGGGGAGCACCTATTTAATGGATAGAGTTCCAGTTTGTAACGATGAAAAGTTCTGAAGATGGATGGTGGTGATGGCTACACAACAATGTGAATGTCCTTAAAGCCACTAAACTGTAAACTTAAAATGGCTAAAATGGTACATTATATGTTATGTACATTTTACCACAACAAAATCTTAAAATTTAAATGAAAAAAATTAAAAATATTTAAAAAATCTGAACAATAGCAAAGCCTAATATGACTTTCAAAGTCTTATAATATCTCAGAATTTTGTTCCTCAAAGATGCTTGGTTTTGCACATTTTTAAATTATAGATTCAGAGGCTGCATGTATAAATTTGTTGCATGGATTTATTGTGTAATGCTGGGGTTTGGGCTTTTCCCTGAGCAACACTTCCATATTAAGCAATTCAGAGCCCAAAGTCCTAAATCCACCTTAGTATGCTATCAAGCAAATCTTGAACAAATCTTTTAATTTCTCTGGGCTTCTGTTTTCTTATGGGTTAACAGAGAAGAATTAGCAAGATATGAGCTTCATTTTAGCTAAGATTCTTTGGAATTTACGACTCAGTTAAGAACTTCTGACATCACTATGCACACACACATGGGTAGCTATTTAGTTTTTAAGAATGTGAGAGTATCTCAGATAGATTCTTATCTTGCCTGCATAAATAAAGGGCTCTCTGAGACAGCATCCTTAAATTTCAGATATTATAAAAAGAGGAAAAGTAACCTATAAAAAGGAAAGTGATTCTTACATATAAGAAGTATCAAACACAGCTGAATTATTTGTATAATATAGTTTAAACCATGTTTAAAAAATCATATTGTTCGTGGTAAAGATGCAATAAATGCCATTATATAAATGACCAATTTCTGAATTACTAGTGGCTTGTGCTGATGGACAGAGCCATAGTCCTAGATACATAGTTTATGCCAGTGTTCCAAGAACCTGGTATTTGCTCAGTTATTCAGGCTAAAGTGGTGGTGAATACAACAGAAGAGAAAGAGAAGTTTCATTGCTTGCTACTATCCAAGTGTTTTAAGTAATTACCACCCATGAACACGTATATTTAAGACTTAATTATGAGATTCAAAATATTTTAATTGGTAAACTTGAAGAAGTGTATTATAAAGAAAACTAAACATAAAAAAAATAAAAATAGTAGTTTGTCTACTCTAATCCTACATGCCAACAGCTTCATGTGGCTGGAAAATAAAAGAAAAAACAAACATCAAGTGGTCCATCATCCCTATGCAATAACTGTATAACTGTATGCCATTTTGCCACTTAATTCACACTATTACTTTTCAAAGGAATCCTTCATACATTCTCTTTATCCTCAAAGCTCCGATACATCTTTCTCATCCGCAAACTTCCACCTATCCTGGACCTTCTCTCTGGTTAATTACCACTGTCTGGAGGATCTAATTTCCTCTACCAACCTAAGAAAGGACTTTTCTCTTACTGTGCAGGTGTGTCCATTCTCTCTCCTGTTTTGTCTGCACTGTACTTTTTAATAGATTATTTTCATTGGTAATAGCTCTATCTTTAACACAAGTGCACACATGTGCCAAGTTCATGGACTCATTGTCCCCACTGTCTTCCTATCTCCGCATTTGGTTGCTCACTTGCACAGTAAAAAAAAACACTAACAAATTATATGAACTCTATTTTCTTGAAAACCTCTAGTCAGGCTTTTGTTCCCACTCCTCCACTAAAACCACTCTTCTCAAGGGCATCAGTGACTTCTGTTTTGCAAATACACAAGAGTTAATCCTCAATCCTTATCTTCCTCAACCTATTAGTGGCACTCAACATATTAGCATTCTCTCCTGTTTGAAATCCTTTCTTCATTTGGCTTCAGGCATTCCCTCTCACTCCTTCTTATCTCTTTAGCCACATACCCTTTATTTTTCTGACCTCTAAATATTTGCAAGTCCTGATTTTTTCTCTCTTTGTACATCCTCCGTAGATAGCCTATGTTAGTGCCATGTTCATTTCATGACTGGCAATTTTTTGTCTACCCTGACTTTCAGATTCATTCATATCAATCTATGGGACATCTGTATTTGGTAGTTTAATAGATATTTCAAACTTTATTTGAGCAATCAAAGCCAAACTCTTGATTTCTACTCCAAACCTGCCGCTCCCCAATAGGGAGGATCACATTCCAGTAAGTGGCACCTCCATTCTCTCAGTTTCTTGTTGGCTACGTCTCTCATCTCTAGTACTACTCCCTCCCTCTTATTAATCTGGCCTATTTGCTGTTTCTCATCCATGGCTGGCATGCTCCCCACTCAGAGCCATTGAAAGTGGTATGCCTGCTTCCCTGTTATGGGATTCTCTAAAATATCCCTTAGTTTATTCAGGTCTCAGCTCAAGTGTCATTTTCAGAGGGCTTTCCTTTAATACCCTAGCAATCTTCTCCCTACTCCAACCTTCTTTCTCTCTCTGTATTAGTTGTTCTCAGGCTGCTAATAAAGACATACCCAAGACTGGATAATGTATAAAGGAAAGAGGTTTAATTGACTCACAGTTCCACATGGCTGGGGAGGCCTCACAATCATGGCAGAAGGTGAAGGAGCAGCAAAGTGATGTCTTACATGGCAGCAGGCAAGAGAGCTTGTGCAGGGGAACTCCCATTTATAGAACCAGATCTCATGAGACTTATTCACTATCACAAGAACAGTATGGGGGAAAATGCCCCGTGATTCAATTATCTTCACCTGGCCCCACCCTTGACACATGGGGATTATTACAATTCAAGGTGAGATTTGGGTGGGGACACAACCAAAGCATATCACTCCCTTTACACCTTTCTTCAAGCATTAACACAACCTAAACTATATTTGTATTATTTCTTCTTTTCTTAAAAAAAAAGAAAGCTCCACAAAGACTTTGTGAAGCAATACATTTCAAACAAGGTGAAAAGAGTCTTAAAAATATGCCTGATCATTATATTTTAATACCTAATATTAGGAGAAATGCATCTTAAAATGAGATGACAAGTTTACGCTTCAGGCTTGTTTTCATGAATTGCAAAAAATCATTTTAGAAAAAAGAAAAAGTAACCTCGAACACTGTCCCCAGACACTCTTTTCTATTATTGTTCTTTTCATTTCTGTTTGGTTAGGGGCTTCTCTTTATTTTCATTTATCTCTTATCACTGCATTTACCACAGTACATCTGTCCCAAGAGAAACAGATAACTCATCCCTTTTATCCTGGGGGAAGAAACCTAACCTCCTCTTACAAATGAGCAAAATCTGTAAAGAAGCTAATAGATTTAATCAAAGTTAAATAATAAATGCTTTGATTAGTTATATTTTATCTTGGCAGTCTAATACACATATGTTAATATAGCATATACTCAAATACACATATGCATAGAAATCTTAGACAAACATTCTTTATCAAATATGTGACACTCTCAAGAATTAAAATTATACCCAAGATTCAAAAGTTTACAAGCTATTGGAAAAAATGAGTGTCTGCTTAATTTGTTTTTAAGAAACTAAAGTAACAATAATGTTTTAAGAATATCCAGGGATTCATTTCAGTTTGTGGCATTATTTTACTTCTAATGGTAGTTTAAACAAAACTTTTCTAATTAGACTAAGTATGTTCATTCTCTTATTAGTTTTTCTTTCTATAAACAAATAACTATTTCCAGACTCTTAACTCCTCTGTAATTACTGTTGCTCAAGAAAGCTCCATTCAGAATGAGATTACAAGAAAATTATAGACATAAGCCATACTTAAAGTTGTTTAATATGTCAGTTGGAATAGCTTATGCTCTGTATTTAATACTTAGTTAGTGGAAGATAGTGGATGATACCATTTTAGTTATAACTGAGAGTATTAAAATTAGTTTACTTATGTGTTTTCACGAAGAATGATTTTTGGAAGCTAATTTCTGTGAACAGTATTTCTCCCTTTAATTAACATGAAACAGAGTGTGTTTTGCTAGTGTGTTTTTTATTTGTCTACAAACTCTTTCGATAAGTATCATGAGATACAAATAATTGTTTTTCTCTTCAATACACCAATCATCAGGGCAAATTTTGTAGTTTAGACCAACAAAATATTGGACAATCTACTATATCACATATATTATTGTCAATTGTATGTTTTTTTTTTTTTTTTTTTTTTGAGACGGAGTCTCGCTGTGTCTCCCAGGTTGGAGTGCGGTGGCGCAATCTCGGCTCACTGCAAGCTCCGCCTCCTGGGTTCACGCCATTCTCCTGCCTCAGCCTCCCAAGTAGCTGGGACTACAGGCGCCCGCCAACACGCCCGGCTAATTTTTTGTATTTTTAGTAGAAACGGGGTTTCACCGTGTTAGCCAAGATGGTCTCGATCTCCTGACCTCGTGATCCGCCCGCCTCGGCCTCCCAAAGTGCTGGGATTACAGGCGTGAGCCACCGCGCCCGGCCAATTGTATGTTTTTAAATTCACATTGATTACATAAGTGTTATGCAAGAGTTTGGAGAATTCCAACTATATCATCAGGTCTATATCTATTTAATGTTGTATCATTATTATTTCCTGCCATATATAGATGTTATGTTACTTTAAAAAGTTACATTTATTACAGATATAATATTATGTATGCCTCCTACTTTCACCTTCACAAATACATAAATGATGATCTTGAAGGTGGTAACCAATATCTAAAATTCACTTGGAAAGGCATATTTTTAATTCAATGTATTAAAAATTAGAAAACATCTACAGGGAACGTTTGTCATGCTTTCAATCATTTATATCTTTTTTTGTTTTTAAAATTTGTTTGAATTTAGCAGTAATATGCTTAACTGAGTATTATATAAGGACCCTCATTGGAAGTTGAAATGCCAGTCTTAGTGTTGCTCACCAAAAAATAAAAAATAATAATCAGAAAATACCAAAAGCTAGTTTACAAGATTTTCTAACACCATCCCTCAAACTCAAAATAGTACAAAAAACATAAATAAATGTCATCCAAATGACTTTAACCTGGGAATCTGGTATCATTTTAAAGATTGCTCACATGATTACAAAATTTAAAGCATAAATCAATACATGAGGCAAGAATGAACTTTGTGTTGGTGATGACTATGCCCAAAATGCATTCTTACTTTAAAGGTACATGTGCATTTAAGAAACCCTTTGTGCATATATAAATATATGTGTGTGTGTATATACATATATTTATATATGTTACTTTGTAAAGTAACTACCTGATATTTCTGAATATTTCTCTTTTGAGAAAATCCTGAACAACAGCAGTTCTAAAATTTCCACCTAGTATATCCTCAGCATCCTGGTACATTATCTTTATGGTGAGTGCATATATTACTGTGATAGATTTTTCTAGGCAGGAAGATACTCTAAAGTGTGAGAATTTTCAAAGATTGTGATTATGAAAGGAAGTTTTGGACGTGATGATAGTACAGTGGTCCTAAATGCGTATGGAGAGATAGCTCTGATCATACAAATGTCATGTTACTAACAGATCCTTAAGCCCAAGGCTTTAAACTATTGCAACATGGTCTGGATGGCACATAAAGCTGCGTTTCCTTGGCCACACTATACACTAGAAAATAGTTTAATTAAAATAAATTGCATAATTGCATATGAAAATCCAGACACTCAATGTTACCTAAAAAATTGGAAGATGGAAAAAATAGACGTAGACTTCTGCAAAGTTGCTAAGTTTAAATTCTGCACAGTCTCCAGAGCCCCCATTATTTCTCAATCAGCTTTAATTATTTATTTACGGTATTTTATGGACACTTAGATTCTTATGCATTTATGATCCCTTCCTGAAATAACTGTGGTGTTTACACTTAATATATGCAACCTGACACGCACGCACACACACACTGCCATGCACACACGCTATTATCATTATATCTGATTTAAAAAAACTTCATACACCCCCATTTACAAGGTATTAGTGGAATATACTTTTTTGTTTATTTGTTTTGTTTGTTTTTGGGCTCTCAATCTGTCCCTGCAGTAACACGATCATATCTCACTGTAACCTTGAACTCCTGGGCTCAAACCATCCTCCCCCATCAGCCTCTGGAGAGTGGTAGGACTTCAGGTGTGTGCCCTTACTCCCGGCTAATTTTTTTATTTTGTCTATTCTGCAGAGACTGGGTCTTGCTACTTTGCCCAGGCTGGCTTTGAACTCCTGACCTCAATCCATTCTTTTATGTTGACCTCCCAAAGTGCTAGGATTACATGTGTGAGCCACCATGTTGTGCCGGAATATACTTTTGAAATGCATGATGAGTTGATTGGTGTGGGCAACAGTATGAAATTCATTTCTGCTTCAATTCTCCCTTTCACTATACCTTTATCATTATTAAAACTGCAACTTCAAAATCATCTGTAATATCTGATTTCATCTTTGCCCATGGGCATCACATTAGTGAGTTTCTAGTCTTAAGATTTCTACTTCCTTTCATCCACAAAAGATCCTTGATTTTGATTTATTTCACCCATCTCTGACACTGGAAAGGAAAATGAAAGTTTCTTGCTGTTAATTTAAATGAGATTTTGTACTTATTAATGATGTTTTTATAAGATAAATATCTTGCTGAATCGTAAGATAGTAGACTTTTCATAGTTTAGAAAGTTTCACTGCATGCTTTATGAGCAGTAATTAAAAACTTGAACCTTTCAACTTCAGCAGTAATTCTAAGGGGAAAGTGTTAGTTTTTAAAGTAATTATTGTCTAATTAGACAAGAGTGTTAATAAAGTGGAAGAAAATTATAATTTATATTTCCACATATGCTTTGTTCAATCTTTTGTTTTTGTTTTTTAAAATTCTTCTTAAGGTACTTTTTGTCACTTTCTATTAATTTAGTCATTTCAACAAAAATATTAAAATCATACTTAGTGGCTATGTTCACTGCTTTTTAATGACTTTTCTATGAAGACATATTAAAATAGACATTATTTTAGGATAGAGAGGGCTTTGCCAATATTAGTATACTCAGACATAGGGATGAAATTTGAGAAAAGATTAGTTTAATTGGGTCACAGAAATAAAAACAGCCCCAGTAGTTTTTGTTGTATATAAACCATAAGTTTTAACTTACAGGCTGAGATTTGGTTCTTATTTTCCAAGTATATTAGAATTTTATTCTTATATTTTATAAGCATATATTTTATCTAAGTTCGACGATTTAAAATATTATTTTATAATAAGTATATATTTATGTACAAACATCTCCATACTCTCTGTGAGAATTTACAATATTCATAGCCCTTTCTCCAACAATACCTTAAATGTGTCTTAAAGGAAATAGAACTTCCTTAGAATTTATCAATTATCGATCCTTGCATATTCAGCAAATGCTGCAGGAATAAGTGTTAAAACTAAATTTCATATATAATACAGATTTGACAAGAACAAATTAGCTTTAATGTAAATAACAGGACATTTTGTGAAAATGATACGTTTCTTTTTAAAATTCATTCATTCAAAACATCAATGCTAATCTGGGCTAAGCTATTTGCTGGGCTCCGGGATAAAAAGCTGGGATAGGAGCTTGGCTAATAATGATTCCTCTTCTCAGGGGCATAAAGTGAAACACAAATATTGCCAAAGTACCCACTGACAAGCAATGTAATTATAAACTGAGATGTGTTCGCTGAATACAAAGGAAAGGCTAAGGATTATCGCAAAATATTTGACCTATACTTGGGGGAGGAAGTGACTTGTCAGAGAAGTCTTACATGAGGAACAAATTCTTAGGTCGAAATATGAAAAAGGAGAAAATGCCTAGGCAGAAATAACTAGCTAAAAATAAAGTAAAATGAAATTTGGTTATGGTAATAAATAGAGAGAGTTAAAAATTAGATCAGATTGAAAAAAAAAAAAAAAACAACATGAAAAGGCCTTAGAATTAAAAAGGTCAGAATGAAATTATGTCTTTCACTTATAAAATATCTTGCCAGGGTGTGTTGGGAAGTAAATATTTTTCATTATTGACTTTTGGAAAATTAATAAGTAGTAAAGTATTCCTAAAATAATCCCCATCCCCAAGGGACATATAACAACTTATTTTAAAAGTATGGAAAAATGGAAAACAATCATTAGAATGCCCATAAAATTTAATGTCTGTATCATTTTAATAGGATACAATATTATACAGGCAGTTTGAATTTACTATATAATAGCATAATCTAATATTTAATGTAATAAATTTAAAAATTTAAGTTAGAAAAAATGTACTCTAGTAATGAACGTACCATACAATTAGCATTGACACTAAGAGAGAGAACGACTACTTTTCAGTTTGGTAATTTTGAAATGCCAGGATACACTATAAAATTAGGTATTTGTAGGAAGAGACTAAAGTTCTTAGTGTATTATTCGTGAAGCATAGTCTTTGTGAGTAAGACAACTTATTCAAATTTTATTTGCCCCTCAAACATAAAGAACCAACTAATTGTAATATCTTATCATTTACAGATAAGACAGAGTTTTACAATTATAAAATTACACACAATTGACCCTTGGACAACATGAGTTTGAATTCCATAAATCTGCTTATACATGAACTATTTTCAATAAAAGTTACAGTTTCCTAGAAAAATAAAACTCAGCTTTACATTAAAATCCAGTCTCTAAGAAATATGACAGTGACCTTTATGGATTTGTGTCATAAATGAAGGGCTTACATGACTACACAATTAGTTATTTTTCTAAGTCAAATTATCCATCTTCACATTGTGCCAGTTGAGAAGGTTGATCATTTCTTTAACCATGTAGATTTATAAGATAAATGGTAAAAGCTTAATATATATCAAATCAAAGCTTAGAAATATTTGTGAAATGCTTCCTTATATGGATGTCTTTCTGTATTAGACTTTGAGTTACTGTTTTTGAGATGATATTTCTGCAAACGTTCTAGACTATACATTTCATACATGATTTTCATAGTATAAATTGGTAAAGTACAAAGAGAAATGAAATGGAACAGTCTACCATTTGGTTTTAAAGTTATTAAAGCATATCTAATGATTTCAATAATATCAACATCTATCATACTCAAAAAATATTCACCATTAGCATTATTTTTATCAACATCAAATGTACAAACTTAGTTCTTGAGAGAATTTTACTGTTTTAAAATTATTGTAAATGAAACAGTTGCAGTTCAGTTGGCCGAAGACCTTACCTAAAAAATCCTGCAAAGAAAGTAAAAAGTTATATGTATAGAATGTTGATTCTGCCTCTGCATTGATATAGTATGAAACTTTATGATCTCTGGTTAGACTTCATATAATGTGAAGTAGAAAATAAAGTGTAGAAAAGATATGACATATGAAATATGACCCCTCTGATAAGAAGAGGGGCAATGGAGGATAAACCTAGTTTTATTCATTCTACTTAAACATGTCACCTGGCAAAGTATTAAAGTACACATTTTCTACTCTATTCGTGTTAAATAAATGTTGTAAGTACATGTTAAAAAGTACATATTAAAGCTATATAGAAAACAAATATTTTATTAATGACAGTTTGTATTTCCCAATCAGTATTTACTCTAGTATCCATTACATACATATTAATATTTAAATAACTATTAAAAGTTATATGTTGGCCGGGCACAGTGGCTCACACCTGTAATCCTAGCACTTTGGGAGGCCAAGGAGGGCAGATCATCTGAGGTCGGGAGTTCCAGACCAGCCTGACCAACACGGAGAAACCCTGTCTCTATTAAAAATACAAAATTAGCCGTGCGTGGTGGCACATGCCTATAATCCCAGCTACTCGGGAGGCTGAGGCAGGAAAATCGCTTGAACCCAGGAGGAGGAGGTCGCAGTGAGCCGAGATCATGCCATTGCACTCCAGCCTGGGCAACAAGAGCAAAACTCCATCTCAAAACAAACAAACAACAAAAAAAAGTTATATGTTTCCTTCTATTACCAACTATATCTAATAAAAATGACATGCTTGGATGAAGCTGGAAACCATCATTTTCAGCAAACTAACACAAGAACAGAAAAACCAAGCACCGCATATTCTCACTCGTAAGTGGGAGCTGAACAATGAAAACACATGGACACAGAGAGGGGAACATCACACACTGGGGCCTGTCGCGGGGGTGGGGAGGTTAGGGGAGGGATAGCATTAGGAGAAATACCTAATGTAGATGACGGGTTGGTCGGTGCAGCAAACCACCATGGCACGTGTATACCCACGTAACAAACCTACACATTCTGGACATGTATCCCAGAACTTTAATTTAATTTTTTTTTTAAATGACATGCTTTACCAATTAATTTTACATTGTTTAAATGCAAGCAGATTTAAGAAAAAAAATTAGGAATGTAGATACTACCTGTTTGCTATGTCATTAAACATGTGAAGTCATTTTTTAAAATTAGAACTGTTATGAATCTTTTATTCTAAATCTGTCACCTACTTAAAAGACTATTATTTAAAACCTTATTTCCTACCAAGCTATGGTAATGGCAAAAGCAAGTAAAGTAATATGACTGAGTTATAGCTCAAAATTTGTTCAATATAAGAAACAGAAAAGTTGTAACTAGATTTATAAGAAAATAATTTATTGTATATAATTGATCATATATAAAATAAAATCTCATTATTTAGTATTTAAATTACATTTCTTTTCAAAATATAATTAACAATATGGAATGCAATTGTTTTACAAAGCTCATTTAGATTGTTGGCAGAATTCATTTCTTTTTGGTTATATGACTGAGGGCTGTTGTCTGGAGGCCATCCTCTGGTCCAAGAAGTCACCTGGAGTTCCCTGGCATATGTCCTTCTCCAAAGGCAGTTTACAATACGTTTGCTTCTTTACACAGAGCAGGAAGATTTATCTTTCTCCAATGTGCTAAGACTGAATCTTATATAACTTAATTGAAACAATAAAGTGATATCTTGTTACCTTTATCATATTCTACACATTAGAAGCAAGTCATAGATTCCACTATCTATGGCAATGGTCCCCAAGTTTGTGGCACCAGGGACTGGTTTCATGAAAAATAAATTTCCACCGACCTGGGGCTGGGAGCAGGAGAGTGGTTTGGGATGATTTAGGTGCATTCCATTTATTATACACTCTATTTCTATTATTATTATATTATAATATATAATGATATAATCATACAACTCACCATAATGTAAAATCAGTGGGAGCTCTGAACTTGTTTTCTTGCAACTAGATGATCCCATCTGGGAATAATGAGAGACAATGACAGATCAATCATCAGACATTAGATTCTCGTAAGGAACATGCAACCTGGAACCCTTGTATGTGCAGTTCACAATAGAGATTGCCCTCCTATGAGAATCCAATGCTGCTGCTGATCTGACAGGAGGCGGAGCTCAGGCGGTAATGCGAATGATGGGGAGGGGCTGTAAATACAGATGAAACTTTGCTTGCTCACCCACCACTCACCTCCTGCTCTGTGGCCTGGTTCCTAACAGGCCATGGACCAGTACTGAACCCCTGATCTATAGAATAGTATTATACGAGGATTTGATTCATTATGAGCTACTTTAGGTGTGACTGTCACACTCTGTTAGACTGAAAACTCTATATGGACTATTATGTATTTATTATTAATTCATTTAGTTTTTCTCATAAAGCTGTAGCCACTGCATCTTATAAAGTGCATTATCCAGAATCAGTGCTCAGTAAACACTTATGCTATAAATGAACAAATGAATATTCTTAACTTTTATTTTTTGTTCAAATTTTCATCTGTCAATTACAGAAGAATAAAATGGATTTTATTGTCCTAATTTTAAACTGATTCTCACAAGTTTTAACTAGTTTACCCTTATATAGCCCTCCAAAAGCAACATAACTAGGAATGCAATGCAAGACTCTCTCATGCCAGAGCCAGGACTTTTATTATATTACATTATACAAGTCACTGACATTTTCATACTTTTACGTTTAGTCTCTGTTGACTGACTTAATACTTTTGGATTTTTTTTGCTGATGGATTTGCCTTAGGAAAATACTCATTTACTCATTAATTTATTTGTGTTTCTTAGAATCTATAATATTCATCAAACAAGAATATTAATCAGAATCATTTTTCTGTGCCAGGTAATAACACTGCACAGAACTCTCTTTCAAGCTTCTTTTTTAAAATGATGCATGCGTTTGCTTGAGCATTAAAACTCCATTTTAAATTTACTTGGTTATATTTTTAAGCTAAACACTCCACTGATGAAATAATGTTTGGGCTTCTCTTTTTATATTTCCCTTTGCTTGCTCCTTTCAAACTAAGCTTTTTCCCATGACTTTTCTAACAAATAGTGAGAAATGTATTTATCTAAAAGACTGAGATTTAGATGAAGGTTCTGAAAACATAGATGGAATGGAAACCTCAAAAAAATTGGCAATTAAAACTTATTTATCTCCTAATTTGGAGTTATTTTACTAAAGTACCTTGAAATGTATATTAGGTAAAAAAATATGAAATGTAGTGCATGCTCAATAGCAAAGTCATTGTGAGGAAATGGAATAATTTATTTCTATAGTAGAAGCTTAGTGTCTGATATGCACTAAATATAAAATAAATACTAATTGAGTAAATGTATGTATAAACACTAAGAAAATATCCAATATAATAGCAATAGTAAACATGGAGATTAAATTTCCACTCATTTAAAAACATTTTTGGTGTATTTATATTTTATTAAACCAACTAGTATGACTACATTATTATAACATTTGGCATGTATCTATTATAGACTAAACTGAATATTAGTTTTTTTCCATGAAGACACAATCTTTAAACATAAGCAGATTAATTATATTGGTCAGTCATTTATTTTCTTGAGAAGTAGTATTCCCCAAAAAGAAAACCAGTGTTCTTCCCTCTTTTATTTAAAGTTCTATTATTAAAACCAGAATTTAATAATGAATAGACTCAACAGACATGTTAAGACACTGATTTGAATTCTCCAAGAATTCACCATAGCTGTAGTATAAGAATGCCAGAGCTTGGACTTACCTTATGTGTTTCATGTGGTTTCGGGAAATATATTTTGGGTTAAATTAGTCTCATCTAATGTTTACAACTGTTGATTATATATTTAAAATGTTTAAAACTGAAATGAAAGACCTTGTAAATGATTGAAGTGATAGCAAGATTAGTTCTTAATAATTTATATTCTTAATTTTAAAAATGATTTTCATCAATTTTATTTTATCCCACAATGTTTAGGATGAATCTATATGTTGAGACAGAGTGCACCCAAAAAGCAAATTAACATTTTCTTTTTATTTGAAATGGAATCTGTCTTGCTCTGTCGCTCAGGCTGAAGTGCAGTGGTGCAATCTCAACCCACTGCAACCTCTGCTTCCTGGGTTCAAGCGATTCTTCTACCTCAGCCTCCTGAGTAACTGAGATTACAGGTGTGCACCACCACACCCAGCTAATATTTTATATTTTTAGTAGAGATGGGGTTTCACCAAGTTTGCCAGGCTGGTCTGGAACTCCTGATCTCGAGTTATCTATGCTCCCCAACCTCCCAAAGTGCTAGGATTGCAGGTGTGATCCACCGCGCCTGGCCAAATTAGCACATATTTTAAATTTGGTAGTCAAGACACATTCAGATGTAGTAGCATGTTAAAAAAAACTGTAAGCCCGAGCAAAGATCTAGTAAGCCGAATTTAGCAGGACCGGGTGGGAGAGGTAGGTTGGACCTCACAGTGTCCTATAAAAACATTAGTTACTTTCCAAACTTACCTCAAATTAGCTACAACGGAACCCCTTGAATTTAAATTGCAAACTTTAAAAAAGTGGGCGATAATATCAATATCATTGATATTACCTATCATTAATGTAAATTTAAATAAAATATATACTTCTTTATATAAATTGTATATGTGACTATGTAACATAATTTTATATATAAATATGTATAAATGTACTATAAAATTGTCAATAAATATCAATATATTTTTATAGATGAATATATGATATAAACTTATACATATGTATATTTAGTAAAGAAAAATATAATATGATCTAGAAGGAAGGAATATATCTGAAAGGCTCTCTGAAATTTTATTTTCCTAAACTTCATATTACACATTTTAAAAAAGGAACAGCTGATTCATCTGGTAATGCTGAAGGGTGATAAGTACCCTCTGTACTGATGAAGACATTATTAATATTTACCACCATGCTGAGGTAGAAGACAGGTTTCTCTCTAGTCATTTAAGCAAATTGATATTTAGTATGGTAAGATACAGTGACTTTGGAAAACCTCATGTTTTTAGTTTGAAGCTGAGGTTGCTTTGAAGGGAAGTTTGCTTTATTCCAGCAGGTAGATAGCATACGTTTCTCACAAGGAATACAAAGCAGTGACAAGTTTTAGTTTTGTAGCTTTATCTAGATATTGTTACAGATCAAGAATAACAGTAATTTGGCTGAACCAACTGTTGAAGGGCAGACTGCATACATACAGCTCACTTCACTGTGAGACTCCAGCTTGCTTCATGGTTGTGTATTGGTATGGGGTTTCTCATCAAAGTAATGACGGTGTGTTCCAAGTTTTGGTATCTCAAGAAAGTTAGTGTTTATTCACATAGCAGTCAGAGACATAGGCTAAAAAATAGTTAACATTGTCAAAATTGTATTTAAGAGAAAACTGCTGTGGTGTCAACCTTGGCTGCTTTTGCCATGTGTCACTGCAAACACCCAAGACTCAGGGAGCAGGGATAAACAGAAAAAGGACAGACCTTTGTGTATTTCCAGACTTTGGATTTATATTTGAAAGTGAAAGGCAGTGAAAGACCTTTATTCTCCTTCCAAGAGATGGACAGAAATCTGTACTCAGAATAGTAGATACCATCAAGGATGCTGTCAGGGTTGTCGGAATAGTTATACTTTCATTGTAAAGTTCTCATTCAGTTATTTTATCGGATAGCATTTTGGTTGCTTTGTGTAATCTCACTTCATTTACTGAATGAAAATTATTGTAAAGTGACAATATACAGTTTTGAAATGCTAGCTGCTATTTTCATGTCACTTATTACATTTTAACATTTTATATAACTTATTTATGTTTGTTATTGGTCTATCTTTATTTTGCTGGAATATAACATCCATGGGAGAAAAGAAATGTGTCAGCTTTGTTCACTGATATTTTCCAACTGCCTAGAAGAGTGAGTGGTATCTAGTAGACCCTCCATAAGTACTTGTTGAATAAATTAATTTTTGAGAACATTGAATGCCAGATAAATAAATATGAGATTTATCTTGCAGGAAATACAAATGATGTGAAATTCAAAATTAGTATGTTTGTCTTGAATAATTGCAGTAAAATATTCTTAAGCCTAAGGAAATTGTGTCATAAAATGCACATGGAATGCAAACCACTTACGTGTAATATTATACTGTAATAGGAAAAAAACACTTTTCCCCAGTATTTTGACAACAGAATACTATTTCTAAGTCACGATTGCAAAATGATAACTTTATTAGCTATATTAGAGTACTGAATACACCAATTTAATTATCTCTTAAAAAACAAGTATAACATATTTATTTATAGGTCACCTACAATTCTTTTTAGAATTGAACATGCTTTGGATTTTTAGAACATAACATTATTAGCCAATAAATTCTGTAGGAAAAATATATACTCGGGGAACATGGAAAGAGTTTGATGTGGGATTTGTAGTAAAAGTAAAGTACCACCATAGAGGTGTTGTTTGACAGGCTTTTCATTTACCTACAGTCACTTAGCAAGATTATGGAATTCATCTCCTATAGGACTTTCTCTTTTAATTCTAGAGATTAAAAAGCTAGTAACAAAAACAGTCTTTTGTCTAAAGCATTTGATCTCTTCCAATTAATTTGATCACAATCACAGAAGTGCCACTATAGGCTGTCAGTTGATTGGCACAATATTGTACTAAACATCTTGGTCCTGTAGTCATTTACACAATCTCTTTGTGGGAGGTACCTTTTCATTATATCTTTGTTTAGAAACTGGGTTTTCTCACTAAGTCAATATGTGTTCTGTGTTTTGGGGTATCGGGTTGATGTGATGAGTCATAGCTTTCTTTCAGGTCTCTGTAAATATTGAGCCCATTGAAGTGATGAAAATTTCTTTGGAAATCAGGCAGATATAGATGAAAGAGTAAAAAAACTATAGAAATTGTTATTATTATCATTATTCAAAGACAAATAAGTATAATATTTCCCCTAAAATTATCTCCTTCCTCTGGGCAGTAAATGCTATATCTATTCTAAATAGATTTTTTATGAGTTTTGTCTGTGATGCTTTCAGAAATATGCATATAATCCTCTAAAAACTTGCAGAGCCATAGATCAAGAGGTTTTGTTTCTGGAGGCATAATAATGGCAGTGACATTAATGATTTTAAAATAATGATCCATCATGTTGTTTTTATATTGGAGACTGTTCCATGAAACCAAATTAGCTTCAGTTAGGAATAAAAGAATATGCCATAATTTGTGAATGCATAATACTATAAACTACTATAAAGGAAGTCAAGCTGGCAGATCAAGGACCCACACAGGAACACAACTATGTCCTTTTGTCCTTTGCTAAGATATTACCGTCTCTTTAATTTTGTTTTCTAATACATATCTTTTCTGGTTTGTATTAATTTTGTTTTCCAATATATATCCTTTCTGGTTTGTATTTGTATATGGTTTCTCTTTATATTTTTAAAATTTAAATAACATTGTTTTATTTCTTAATGTCATGTTTGTTTTTCCAAATAAAAAAAGATTTGAAGCCATTGTATATAGAAATCTTAGTAGAGCTCTAATCCTTTGTGAAGGGGGTTAGAATGTCTCTCTCAGAGTTTAAGGGAAGCAATACAGCAGGCTCTCCTGGGCCTCCATATGCCTTGAAAACTTCTGAGCCCTGTGTTTTCTGGGAATTTTTCCAATACTTTTCTCTAATGGAATGAGCAGAAGTGTCTTACTCACAGACTTTATGGTCTCTTCAGACACTCACCAGTTTATAACCTTGAGCCAGTCACTTATTCTCTCTGAGCCTGACCTTTCCTCCACAAAATGGGGATAATAATATCTACTTTCCAGCCCTTGCTAAAGATAGATTGAGTAAATCTGTATTTAAGACTTTGGAGGTTCCATAGATGCTGAGTCTTTTATATTAAGCTTTAGGGGGTACTCATATTAAGCTTTAGGGGGTACTCATTCTGTAAGTACACTGCATTAAGCACGTATTTATATTCCCTTACGTATTTAATGTTTAAGACAATCTTATGAGGTAAATACTATTTTATATCCATTATGATAATGAGAAATGTGAGACAAAGATGCTATTTAATTTCTTCAAAGTCATATAACTAGTAAGCTGAAAAGCTTGAATTTAAAAAAAAAGCCACATTCTTATCCGCTGCTCTACACAACCAGTAGCATTGGTCAATTTTATTTTTCTTTTTTCTACAGGTTAGTGTGGATTGTGATGATCTCTTGGCATCTAATAATGAGCTCTTCTTTGGGCTTTCTGTCCCTAGAAATTATAAATGCACGCGCCAAGCACTTTGCCAGTTAGGAAAAAATGTGGAAGGCCCAGTTAAAAAGAAGGCAGCTCCTTTTATATCTTAGATAAAGAAACAAAGAAGAATAGACTTCATATTAAAATGTGTGTGATCTAGAGCAGTGATCTTTTAAAGTCAAGAACTGTGTATCCCATTAGTTTAAAAAAAGAGCTTACACCTTTAATACAATTTTACAATGCAATATATATATTTATACATGCTGCTGGACAAATAAACATTATTAAATACTTGGCAATAAATCAAAAATAAAATGTAGACAAAAGCAGAATTAAAATCGTGCCTTTGTACCCTCTGATAAACCTTATCCTCAGCTAGTCTAGTAGAGAGAATCCTGGGCAGAAATAGAAAACTGGAGAACTTGAGACATCAATATTACCTGCTAGAAGCATTTAGTCTTATAAAGAAGATTGCACAATCATGTAAACACTTGGAAATCACATGAAAATTTGGATTTCTGCCTTCTCTTTGAAAATCAGAAGACCCAGAAACACTGGCTTGCATTGCCACATCACAACCACTGACAGAAGTTGAGCACCAGCTGGTCTCTTTAGAAAACCTTGCATTGCACAGTTTATCACAGCCTCTACCATCACTATTGTCCCCTTTGGCTAATTCATTCTTTTCCTTTGTCTGCTTGTCCTCTGTAGGCATTTGAGTTTGGAACCTCTGAATTAGAGAAACAGTGTTCCAATCCCTAGTCTGCCACAATTTATAATCAAGAGCATTTTGAACAATTCTGTGTGGATAATTTCCTAAATTTACAAAGAAACTGAGGATGTCATTCTTTCAATAAGACATTCTCATGTGCTCACAGGCCACTAATTTCTCAATCAGTTGTTTTCTTTCTTTTTTTTTTTTTTTTAACTTGCTGGGGATTGAAAAGTAAAACAAGAGAATTAAAATGAAATGCATCCAAATGCTTCATAAAGCAGATGTAGTGAAAATTGACAGATTTTCCTTAGTCTTTCCTGGCATAGTTAAGTCAATCTCTGATCACTCTACTAGAAAGGAATTAACATTTTAATGATGGGCTTTTCTACTTAATTGTATAAGACAAATTTTCATTGAAATGCTCATGTAGGATACTAACAACTGGCTTACTATCTTACACTTTGTTGTAAAATTATGCTGTAGACAACATAAGTTTAGTAACTTAAACTGATTAACATTGGACTTACCCATAATGTCTTAAATTTTAAAGAGTGTGCTTCTGATATTATTAGTATGTTAACTTCTCAACCTACTTGCTGGCAAATTAAATAACAGAAAAGATGTCTTTCCTTAGAGATTACTTGTCTGCAAATTTATGTTGATAAACAGTTCCAGTGCATTAAACCAGTGTGTTACTTTGTTAATGGATAATGTGGCACAGGTAATTAACTATGAAGTCATTAAGGCTTTTCTGTGCTGTGACAATTGTGTTTACCTATAACAGATTAATGAACATGTCAAATGTTTCTTTCTACCTTTTCTTATTTCAGATCAGCTTTGAGTGAACTTTGACAGAAGATGTTTCGACAGTTTTATCTCTGGACATGTTTAGCTTCAGGGATCATCCTGGGCTCTCTCTTTGAAATCTGCTTGGGCCAGTATGATGATGGTAAGGTTGCTTTTAGCTTGACCTTTAGAGCGAGCCAGGATTTTTATTATTACATTGAAAATATACCACAGAGATGAATAATGCTAATTTGTAGTTTATGATTGAAAGGTTAGTATCTCTGTGTAATAATTAACCTTAACTAAAATAAGCTTAGAAAAGTGAAATCAGATGTCCTTTGTTTCTTAATAAAGATTGCAGCATGGTAGAAGGAATACAGTTTAGTACAAAATTTAATGCAAGACCTCTGTTTGAATGCTTATTCTAACTAGGTAAATGCTTAATTTCTGTGGAAACAATATTAAATTGTATTTACTAACCTTTGAATATATGCAAACAAAGGTCTCAAACAAAGCTAGAAATACAAAAGACAACAAAATTTGACCCCCTGAAAGGGTCAGAAGTAGCAGCCATAAGTTGTTTTGGTGTTGGCACTTTAACTGGGCATTGCGTTATTTTATCCCCCACTATTTTTTTTTTTTGGGAAGAATAGAAAAATGAAAAAAGATTTGGTATTTTGGTATTTGATTTGGTATTTGATTTCTTAAGCTTTCCCCTAACAGTAAGTCAGTCATTTTAGAAAGATTCATTAATTTTCAGGTTCCTTAGAATCCATTTAGTACATGATGTTTGCAATGGCCCAATTGTGCCTGTCTTAGATATTTCAATATTGGCAGAATCTGTCTTAGAATAGCCTATAATGACAGTTAGGATATATATAATATGTTATATATATATTTATATATATATAAATTTGATAGAAGACAAAAATGGAAAATGTTTCCTCCCTAGAAATTTCCTATTCAAGAAAATTGAGTTTTATTTCTTTCCTGTCTTTCTTTTCTTTTAACTTTTCCTCGTTCTTATTCAAGATTTGTTTGGCATTCATGATGCACAGACAAGCAAACTGGTTGCTCTTAACGGCAGCAAAGGATGTGCATTTATTTTGTGCTTTGCTTGGCTAAACTGATTGATCAGAAGATAGATGAATTAGTCTGGCTTTTTCACAAACAATGTTCAAGTTGTGCATATATTAAGACATTCTCAGTCTTCAATAATGTGAGAGATAAACTTCTTTTGGGATTTGCAAAATAATTCACAATAGTATATTCCCTTTCATAAGATCGGCAGCATGATCTCTTGAACACTGCTGCTAGTTAGCATGGTGTTTACTTCAAGTGCATCTGAACTTAACTTCACATCTTTGATATTTATGGAGATTGTGAATCTGCAGCCTAAAAATGATTTTTAAAAGCAGTATGTATAAATAACTGCTATTTTGAAGGAAAACACATTGAAATGAAAAAGAGTTGTGACTCTATAGTTCAAGAGCTCATTTTAAATTGTGCCAGAGGAGTAGATTGGAAATCAATGTATTGGTATTACTTTATATAATAAGGCATTCTATTTTCATTCTTATTAAGTGTTCACACTGAGCAGGAAAGTATTCACTGTCTGTCTTTTTTCACATTAGACATCCACGAACCATGCACTTTTTAGTAATGTAATTTTAGTTAACAGAGGAAATCACTTCTGGTTTAACCTGTAATGCTATAAATTGGTTTTCTTCGTAAGCTTGTTGTAGCTCTTAGTCTTATAAATATATTTGCATTGCCTCTAATATGAGATTATCAGGTCATTATTGGGCATTGCATAGTCAACTTTCTGAAGCCCATTGGAATTTCAGACTTGCCAAGTGATACAGCACAGTGGAGCTGACTTTAATGTACTATACTAACACAGTTTATGTTGTGGTTTATTTTGTTTTGAATTTGAGGATATATATGATAATAAAAAGTACAAATGGACTGGGATGAAATGGTGTCTCATTTTTGTTGTAACTTGCATTTCTCTAATGATTAGTGAGGTTGAATGTTTTTTCATATGTTTGTTGGTCACTTCCATTTCTTCTTTTGGGAAGTGTCTGTTTACATTCTTTCCTCACTTATTAATGGAGTTATATGTTTTGTTCTTGTTGATTTGTTTTTCTTATAGATTTCGGACATAAATCTTTTGTCAGATATATTACTTGCAAATATTTTCTCCCATACTATAGGTTGTCTGTTTATTCTAATAATTGTTTCTTTTGCTGTGCAGAAACTCTTTGGCTTAATTAAGTCCCATTTGTCTACTTTTGTTTATGTTGCATTTGCTTTTGAGGTATTATTTATAAATTATTTGCCTAGGCCAATGTCTAAAGAGGTTTTCCTAGGTTTTATTCTATGATCTCTATAGTTTTAGGTCTTAAATTTAAATTTTCAATTCATCGAGTTAATTTTTGCATATGGTGAGAGATAGGAGTGAAGTTTCTTTCTTCTGCATTTAGCAAGCAAGTTTTCCTAGCACCATTTATTGAATAGGGTGACCTTTCCCCAATGTTTAATTTTGTCAGCTTTGTTGAAGAACCGTGGTTATACACATGTGATTTTATTTTCTAGTTTCCCTATTGTGTCCATAGATCTATGTGTCCATCTTTATGCCAATGCCATGCTGAGTTTTGTTTGTTTTTTATTATAGCCTTATAGTATAAAGTCAGATAATGTGATGCCCCCAACTTCATCTTTCTTCTTAGGATTGCTTTGGCTATTAAGGCTCTTTTTTTGGTTCCATATGTATTTTAGAATTTTTTTTTATAATTTTATGAGTAATAAATTTGGTACTATGATAGAAATTATATTGACTATGTAGCTCGCTTTGGGCAGTACAGTCATTTTAATGATGTTGATTCTTCCAAACAATGATCATGGGATATTTTTCCACTTGCTTCTGTCATGTAGTATTTCTTTCAGCAGTGTTTTATAGTTCTTGTTGTGGACATCTTTTACCTCATTGGTCTCCTTTGTTAAATATATTTCTAGATATTTTATTTTTTGTGTCTATTATAAATGAAATTGAGATTTTTATTTGGTTCTCAGTTTGAGTGTTGTCGATCTATGTAAATGAAACTGATTTTCAAGCATTTATTTTGTATCCTGAAATCTTACTGAAGTAGTTTATCAGGTAAAAGAATCTTTTGGAGGAAATATCAAGGTTGTCTAGGTGTAAGATTGTCATTAGCAAACAGAGATAATTTGACTTCCTCTTTTTCAATATGGAAGACATTTATTTATTTTCCTTGCCTGATTGCTGAGAGTGGCCATCCTTGTCTTGTTACAGTTCCCATTCAGTATGATATTAGTTGTGGGTTTGTCATAGACGGCTCTTATTATTTTGCAGTATGTTTTTTTCAATGCCTAGTTTGTTGAGGGTTTTTATCATACAGACATATTGGATATTATTGAATGTTTTTTCTGCAGGTATTGAGATGATCATATGGCTACTGTTTTTAAAATTGTTTCTGTGGTGAATCACATTTATTGATTTGCATATGTTTAACTATTTGTGCATCCCTGGAATAAAATCCACTTGACTGTGACAAATTATCTTTCTGATGAACTGCTGGATTTGGTTCACTAGCATTTTGTTGCAGATTTTTGTGTCTATTCATCAGGGATATTGGCCTGTAGTTTTCTTTGTGTGTATGTGTTCAGTGCTAGGTTTTGGTATCAGGATGATACTGGTTTCATAGAATGAGTTAGAGAGGAGTCATTCCTCCTTAATATTTTTATTAGTTTATACAAGATGGGTACTAGCTCTTTCTATGTCTGGTAAAGTTTGGCTGTTAATCTGTTTGGTCCTGGCTTTTTTTGGAAAATGGATTTTTTATTACTAATTCAATTTCATAACTCATTATATGTCTCTTCAGGATTTCAATTTCCTCCTGGTTCAATCTTGGCTGGTTATATGTTTCCAGGGATTTATTCATTTCTTCTAGGTTTTCTCGTTTTTGATCACAGAGATATTCATAGTCTACCATGATTACTCTCTGAGAATTTACATAGACTACTCTGAATATATTTTGTATTTCTGTGGTATCGGTTGTAATGCCACATTTTTATTATTTCTGATTGTGCGTATTAGAATCTTCTCTTTTTGTTCCTTAATTAACTTAAATAGCAGTCTTATCAATTTTATTTATCCTTTCAAAGACACAACTTTTGCTTTGTTAATCTCTTGTTTGGTTTTTACAGTCTCAACTCCATTTAGTTCTGCTCTGATTTTTGTTATTTCTTCTTCTAGCTTTACATTTGGTTTGTTCTTATGTTCCTAGTTCCTTGATGTATGATATTGGATTATTAATTTAAGATATTTTTATCTTTTTATGTAGGCATTTAGTGCTTTAAACTTTCCTCTTAACACTGCTTTCATTGTATCCCAGAGTTTTGGTGAGTTATATTTCTATTTTTATTTATTTCAACTTTTTCTTATGTCTGCCTTAATTTTCTTGTTTAGCCTAAAATCATTCAGTAGCAAGTTGTTCAGATTCCATGTACTTGTGTGGTTTTGAGAGTTTCTCCTGATATGTATTTTTTTTTTTTTTTGAGACAGGGTCTTACTCTGTCACCCAGACTGAAGTGTAGTGGTGCTATCTCAGCTCACTGCAACCTCTGCCTCCCAGATTCAAGCGATTTTCCTGCCTCAGTTTCCTGAGTAGCTGGGATTACAGGCATGCCCCACTAACACCCAGCTAATTTTTGTATTTTTAATAGAGATGGGGTTTTACCATGTTGGCCTTGTGGGTCTTGAACTCCTGACCTCAAATGATCCACCCACCTCAGCCTCCCAAACTGCTAGGATTACCAGCATGAGCCACTGCACCCGGCTGATATATATTTCTAATGTTATTTCCTCTGTCATCTGAGAAGATAACTGGCATAATTTTGATTTTTTTGAAATTATTGAGACTTGCCTTAAGTCCAAGTATTTGGTTAATTTTAGAGAACGTTCCATGCACAGATGTGAAAAATGTATACTCTGTGGTTGTTGCATGGTATGTTCTGTAGATGTCTATTACATCCATTTGATCAAGAGTTCCATTTAAGTCTGGAGTTACTTTGTTGGTTTTCTTTTGCCTTGATAATCTATCTGGTGCTGTCACCAGACAGATTATATAACTAATAGTTGTTAAATACTTCAGCTGTTATTGTATGACTTGTTTCTTTTCTTAGGTCTAGTTGTTTTTATTAATCTGGGTGCTATGGTGTTGGGTGCATATATTTAGGACAGTTAAATCTTGTTGAATTGTATCTTTCTTTGTCTTTTTTTTTACCTTTCTTGATTTAATATCTGTTTCATCTGATACAAGAATAGCACCCCTGATCTTTGTTGTTTTCTATTTGTGTAGTACATCATTCTCCACCCTTTACTTTGGGGCTGTGGATATCATTACACAGTAGGTCAGTCCCTTGAAGGCAGCAAATGGTAGGGTCTTGCTTTTTCATCCAATTTGCAAAATGATATCTTTTATGTGGAGCATTTAGGCCATTTTCATTCAAGATTAATATTGACATGTGAGGTTTTATTCCTGTCATATTGTTGTTAGCTAGATACTTTGTATATTCAATTGTGTAATTGCTTTATGGGATCTGTGAACTTTGTACTTATATATGCTTTTCTGGTAGCAAGTATTGTCCTTTCATTTGCATGTTTAGAAGTCCTTTAAGGATTTTTTGAAGGACCAGTCTATGGGTGAAAATTTCCCTTACCACTTGCTTGTCTGGGAATGACTTTTTTTCTACTTTGTTTATGAAATTAAGTTTAGTAGGTTATAAAAATTTTGGATGCCATTTATTATAAAATTATTTTCTTTAAGAAGGCTCAAAATAGACCTCTAATTCCTTCTGGCTTGTAAGGTTGCTGCTGAGAAGTCCACTGTTAGTCTAATGGGACTACATTTTATAGATAGTTTGATACTTACTGTTTAAGATTTTTTTCTTTAGTATTGACCTTGGATAGTCTGATAAATTTATGACTTAGTAATGTTCATTTGTATAATATCTTACAGATATTCTCTAAATTGTTTGTATCTGGATGTCCTCCTCTCTGACAAGATGAGGAAAATTTTCCTCAATTATTTCCTCAATTATATTTTTCATGTTTCTTTCTTTCTCTCCTTCCTCAAGAATTCCTCTAAGTATAGGTTTGGTTGCTTTCCATTATCCAATATTTCTTGAAGGATTTGTTCATTTTTAAAAATTATTTTTTCTTTATATTTGTGTGACAGGGTTAATTCAAAAAAACCAGGCTTCTGAATGGTCTAGTGTATTGTTAAAGCTTTCAACTATGTTTTGAAATTCCTTTAGTTACTTTTTCAATACATGAAGTTCTATTTTCTAATATAGCTATTTTGCCTTTTATATCCTTCATCATTTTTCTGATTGAAATTCCTTGCACTCTGTATTTTGAATTCTTTATCTGTCATTTCAGGATTTTCATTTTGGTTAGAATCTATGGTTAGAGTGCAAGTACAATCCTTTAGAGATGTCAAAACACTCTACTACCTTTTTGTACTGCTAGAGTTCATGCATTGATTCTTTCTCATCTAAAGGAGATATCACTTCTTATTTTTGAATTTTCTATCATTTATTTTTCCTTTAGAGGATTACTGTGATTTATGTTATGATGTGTATGATATGCTTTGTTTTGGGGTGCTTTCAGTGTGCCAAAGTTCTTTATGGGTTCCTTGATTGTGGGTAATCTTTGTATGGTGGTTTTCTTGAATGTTGCCTGTTGTTTTGATGTGTTAGATGTGTCAGCTGACACTATCTCCTGCGAGGCTGAGAGTACAGAGGTCTCAGGAAGCTTATCTTATTCACTAGCCCTGTGCCTTTCTGAGAACAGGTATTCTATTTTACTCTCCAGTCCAGTGATGGCACTTAAGCATAAGAGCCTGCTCATTCTCTGGTAGCTCAGTAATGACTGGAGGCACCCACCCTGACAGGTGTAGCTGGTGGAGATCCTGTTGGGCTGTGGCAATGTTTCAATGGAAGAGCGTTGGAGGCCTATACCAGGTCCTCATCCTGGGCAGACAGGAATGTGATCTGCTTCCCTATCATGCCGCTGTTGCATTTTGCTCATGACCTTCAGTTTAAATATACATTGTCCTTTGACTCCTGGCCATAGTGCAGCTGGAGACCATGGGTATGCCCCTCCGGCAGCTACCAACAAAATGGGCTCAGGGCAAATCCTCTTCCCCAAGTTCATGACAGACAACTTTGTAGCTTGTCTGCCTTCAGTTGCTGGGATGCTATTTCTTTGTATAGAAGGGGAGAGATGGGTCTTACTCTTCATGGAAGCCTCTGTGGCAGGGGCTTACTTTGAATGGAGGTGTAGCTGTTGTGAAAACCACTGGAAAAGTTTACACCAATTTCACAAGGGCTGGCCTTTAACTGGTAGAGCCTCTGCTGTGTCTGCAAGAGTAGATGGGAGGAGCAGAAGATGACTACCTCTCCATATCCATTCCCGGCTGCCGGTGCCACTCCCTTCAGTGATCTGTGTCACACTACATTTCCTTTCTCTCAAGGCAGGCTTTGGAGGGCTGTCTGTGCACCCCCATTCCCCAGGGGTAGGTCACACTGAGGGCTAGATTACCAGGGATCCACAGTTCCTCAGGGATCCTCTCTGTTTCCCTTTGATTGTGGATGTCAGAGCAGGTTATGGGGTATGTTTGCAGGGGATCTTGTGATGTGGTGACTCAATGACTGAGGTTCTACAGGCACAGCAGTGGCCCACTATGTGTACACAACTAGTACGGCACTTGACATCTCAGTTCAGGCCTGAGAAGAGTGTGGGCACCCCTGTGTGAGTTAACAACATGGATTTCTGTCTTTGGGAATTTTCCAAATTGCCACGGACATCATTGCCCAGGATTGTGAGGGTAGAAGGACTCTCTAATAATTCGATGGTTAGCAGGTTGTTGCCAGGGTGAGGGGAACAGAGAAGCACCCCCACCTATACTTTTTTGGGGTCTCTAAGTTCCTTGGGGGTCAATCTCTGCCAGACTCTTCCTGCTTTCTTTTTCTGTACCCTAGCTTCTTCTTGTGGGTTCTCTGACAGGTCCTGGCTCTCATCTGACTGTGTTTCATTCAGATCATTACCATTCACCTGTAACTTTGATCTTTCCGAGAACTAGCATCCCAAGTCAGTCAACCATGTTGGAAAAACAAAGAAATAAACAAAAACCTTGACTGTATGTTTATTCTGAGAAGTTAAATTCAAGTTTTAATAGTAACTACATTGTTTTCGTTAGATGGCAAAATCCAGAGATTTTGTCTTTTTTATTGGAAGCTTTGTAAGCTATTACATGTATATGTACATATTTCTAGATTACATACCATATATGCCATTTAGAAAGGGATGACAAGAAATACCATTGTTACTTTCAATGTTAACTCCAATAATTTTTTTCTAAGCAATCTCAATGTTATCTTCATATGAAATCTCAGCTATGTCTTTTCATTAGGTTGTACCAAGACTAGCATTTCTTGTCTTCATGTTTTCCTGAAGGTGAGTAATCTTGTGGATCCTTGTGTCTCCAAAATGGATTTGGTTGTAGGATAACAGTTTGAAAGCATATATCTTTTCCTGCTTTAGAAGAATTTTCTGGTAATCAGGTTCAGAAATACAAACTCTGTGACTTCTCTAAGTTCTGACCTTATGCCTTGAAGGATTACTTCAATAGCTTCTCCGTATTCCAGTAATAGACTCTGTTAAAGCCATGTGTATATCCTGGAAAGCAACAGAACTAAAAGAGAGAGAAGAAAAAAGGTACTGATAAATAGAAGCCCATTTCATTGTACTTAGAAGATTCTCTTTCTGCTAAAACACACACACACACACACACACACACACACACACACACACACACCCCACCACACACACACCCCTTACCCAAGGATGTTATTTCTGAGGTAACTTACAATATCCCAGTATTGGTGCTCAGATGTTCTTTCTTTCTTTCTCTCTTTCTCTCTTTCTCTGTCTCTCTCTCTGTCTCTCTCTCTCTCTCTCTCTCTCTCTCTCTCTCTCTCTCTCTCTCTTTCTTTCTTTCTTTCTTTCCCTTCCTCCCTTCCTCCCTTCCTTTTTTTTGACGGAGTCTCGCTCTGTGCCCAGGCTGGAGTGCAGTGGCGCGATCTCGGCTCACTGCAAGCTCCGCCTCCCTGGTTCACGCCATTCTCCTGCCTCGGGCTCCCGAGTAGCTAGGACCACAGGCTCCCGCCACCGCGCCCGGCTAATTTTTTGTATTTTTAGTAGAGATGGGGTTTCACCGTGTTAACTAGGATGGTCTCGATCTCCTGACCTCGTGATCCGCCCGCCTCAGCCTCCCAAAGTACTGGGATTTCAGGCGTGAGCCACCGCTCCTGGCCTAGATGTTCTTATTTGTCCTGCTGAGACAGGGAAAAGAAAGAAAAGGTCTAATTCAGAGTCCAGGCAATGCATATAAAATCAATAATATCCGGTAAGGTGGATGCTTGTCTTTGTGGTTCTAATAATCTGAAAATTTTAGAACGATTGAAAAATGCCCACATTCTAATTGTATGAAAAAGCAGAACTCATTTTAAATGTTCTTCATAGAAATCGAAGTTGAGCAAAAATGTAATTATAAACTTGCTTGGCTCTGAGTCATCAATGACTTATACAATTCATAATAGAGTTTTTCTTTAGTTAGATGTTCTGTCAAATCTTTGTATCTGTTGCTACCAGTTCTTCACCAATTCCCTTAAGCTCTGCAATTTGGTTTTTCTTGTAACTATACTGAAAGTGCACTCTCTATGGCTTCCAGTAACTACTTCCTTAGACAAGTACTATAATTTTGTAGCATTTCAGCAAACAGCATTATTGATTTACCTTTCCTGCAACTTTCTTTTTCTCAGAGGTTTTTTACTGACCTTTTCTGAGTGTCTTCCTATCAGACTTCTCCATCTTCTGGTGAACATAGTACTTTTTACTTTTGTCTGATTTTGAAATTTCCCCACTCTCATTTATTTTTCCATAAGGGGCTGTATCCTATAATAAACACATTTTGTATATTCTGAACAATTAAATAACATCATATCCTTTGTAACTGTCAGCTTTCTCTAACTTCCTATTATTTAACTTGCTGTCCACTGGATGTGGTTGGTGGTTACCAGAAGCTGGTGGGTGGAGTGAGCAATGAAATGGGAAAGAGGAGATGTTGATCAAAAGTTATAACATTTCAGTTAGAGGAGGAATAAGCTTCAGTGATCTATTGCACACAATGGTGACAATAATAAATAATATTGCATTGTGTGTTTCAACATTACTAAAAGAATAGATTCTGAATGTTTTCACCATAAAATGACAAGTTTATGAGGTGATAAATTTGTGCATTAGCATATTTAATCACAAAGTAAATGTATATCAGAACATCACATTGTACCCCAAAATATGTAATGTGCACAATTATTTGCCAATTAAAATTTTAATTAACTAATTGACTAACTGTTAAAACATTTTGGAGTAGAGATAATCAGAAAATGTTTGCAGGAAGAATTTTGAGTTTTCAAGTTAAGGAACTTGAGAAGCATATGGAAATTTCAGGAAAAATTTGAATAACACTGAGTTGGCACTTTTAAGATGTGTATCCGTTTGCAGCAATGATGATCATACATGCTGTGCTATGACCCCAATCGCACAAGGTTAGGTATTAAAAGAATCCAAAGGTAACAAAATAGCATGTACTGGACAGTTTTGATCCCAATCCAGTTTTCTAAAAGTATACAATAGCAGAAGTCATTACCTAAGTTTTAAAATATCCTCAACAGCCATTACCAGATGCTAATATACCTACTCCAAACTTTGAGAAGCAGTAGAATGTGGTGGTTAAAAATACACACCTTCAGTTTGGACTGCCTAGATCTGAATCCTGGCTCCAAAACTCTGTAGCTCTGTGGCTATAGTAAATTACTCAATATCTCTTTGCTTAAATTTCCTTGTCTATAACACACGGCTAGTAGGAATACTTACATTATAGGAATATTATGAATGTCCAATTATTTAATGTAAGGGGTTTAGATGAATAATGGTCACGTGGATACTCTGTTAGCTGTTTTCATCATCATTGTCATGAAAGGTAACCGTGTTAGATGAATGAGCTCTCCTACTTAACCTATATGTTATCAGAGTCAAGTTACTTGATCTAAGTCATCTGTTCTTGTTTATAAAATGAGGAAAATGGTACTACCTCTCTCATAGGGTTATCATGAGTTCAAATAAGGCAAAGCATACAATACCTATGTGTCATTTTCTGGTACATCAGACATTAATAAAATTATAAGAAAATTATATAAAATATGTTTTGTTTGTATTCTTAATAAAACAAGATTTTTGTTAGGAGGTGGCAGAGATTAGGCAGATTGTCATTTTCCTACCATGGGATTGAAATGTTTATTGGAAACAGAGATAAAAGTTGTCCTTTTACTAGGAATGCCGTAATTAAATACCACAGACTAGGTGGCTTAAACAACAGAAATTTAAGCACTTCTGGAGACTGGAATTATCCAAGATCAAGGTACTAGTTGAGCTGGTTGCCTCAGTCCTCTCTCCTTGGCTTTCAGATATCTACCCTCTTGCTGCCTCTTCACATTGTTGCCCTTCTGTACAGGCACACCCGTGATGTCTCTCCTTGTGTCCTAGTATCTTCTTACAGGTTTCACCTTAAGAGCCTCATTTTAACTTAATTATCTCTTCAAAAGCCCTATATCCAAATATAGTTACATTCTGAGTTACTAGGGGATAGAGGTTGAATATATGAATTTTGGGGAACACAATCTAGCCCATAACACTGAAATAGAGATAGATTCCAGTTAGGAATGCCTGCGAGTCTTAGTTCTTTGATACTGCAGGGTCTTAGGCATATGGCTTTTATCAGACCCCACCTGCTGTGGAGGACTGAGCTATTCCAGGTGTCCCTGCCCTAATTCAGTTGCCTTAGTCACTGAGCAATGCAGAGTGCTCAGATGCAAGCCTCTGAGACTCCAGCTGAGTCTCAGGATTGGAGCTAAGAATGGACACAGAAGACAAGGCAGAGCAGCAACTGAAAATCTCAAAGAAAGAGGAGGGAAAGAAAGGTCCTGAAAGTAGCAGATGTGAATAGAAGATAAAATGTGACCAGATAATTCCTTTAAAGCAGAATGACTGATGAGATAAATGGGGCAGTACAAGGGAATATGTCATTTTCTATCTACATTTACTCCCTTTTCCTAGGACAGCTTAGTCTAGATTATTCAATGAAAATTGGAATTAGACATTAAATTCCTTGCATATAAGAACTGGGAAGGTAGGTGTGGTTTTTTTTTTTTGTCATTGAAATCTTAGTTCACATTTGGTGTTCCATGTGCATTTGTGAAATAAATAAATAATTTTACACCTTTGTCACATTGCATTTGTAGGAAACAGTTATATTTTGCAAATATTCAGTTTGTTCTGATGAGTTGTTTAAATATTCACCTATTAGGCAGAACTGTATAACTATCTCTGGGCAGTGAAATATAAGTAAGTATGACGTATTATTGTTGGGCTGATGCAACAAAAATCTATGTGAAATTCTTCATTTTCTCGCTCTTCTGCCAGAACAACTTAAGAAGATATGTATCACAGATGGTTCAGCTGTAAAAGGTAATGCCTCAGTCAGCCCTTATCTTTGAGTGACTAGGTGGAGTGGATCTCTCCTTCCCTTGCTTTCACCTACCCATGATAGATGTGCACCATGAAAGTGAGATAATACATTCCCCCATGGATTTAAAGGCCAGTTTGCATACTATGGCTTTGCTTACTGCAGAAGTTGAAGTGACTCAGCTTCTGTCTTTCAGCTATTTTTAATAAAACAGTGAACCGCTAATCTCTATTTCCTAAAACAGTACTTTTCTCAAGTATCTCCTAACATTTCTTCCACTATCTACTGGATTGTGTCCACATCTAAGCTTTCTTGGCCCTTTGTGATATATTCTTGCTTTGCCTACTCATATTATTTCCCAGAATTTCTCAACATACACCAATTGTTTACTCACATTGTATTCTTTTCCATTATTGGAATGTTAAATTTTATTTCCTTCTGTCTATATTGTTTTAAAGTCTTTTTGCTTTTCTTACTGTATCCTCTCTCTTTGCCCTTTTCTTTCTCGTAATCCATCTATCCAGGGCTCATTTATAAGCTCAATTTCCTTTGTGGAACTCCAGTTTACAACAATACTCATTCTCTCTCTCTTTCTCCCTCCTTCCTAGAAGTTATTCTTGATTGATTGCTTGTAGGGTTCACTTTTTTGCCACTGATTGTATTTAGTGCCTTCTCATATAACATTAAGTAATGTTCCTACTTATTTCATACACATAATTCCTACCTACTTGATATGGTTTGGCTGTGTCCTCACCCAAATATCATCTTGAATTTTAGCTCCCATAATTCCCATGTGCTCTAGGAGGGAACTGGTGGGAAATAATTGAATCATGGTGGCTGTTTCCCCAGTACTGTTCTCACAGTAGTTAATAAGTCTCATGAGATCTGATGGTTTTGTAAGGGGAAACCCCTTTTGCTTGGTAGTCATTCTCTCCCTTGTCTGCTGCCATGGAAGATGTCACTTGCTCTTCCACCACGATTGTGAGGCCTCCCCAGCCATGTGGAACCGTAAGTCCATTAAACTTCTTTCCTCATATTTTACCTAGTCTCAGGTATGTCTTTATTAGCAGTGTGAGAACAGACTAATACACCACTCAAGAAGTCTCTTGAAATTATGAATCATATCAATAGTCATTTTATGTGTAAGCATCAGTCACTAATAGTAACCACCAACATTTATTTAGAATTTATTAATTAAGCCATTTATATAGATTATATTCTTTAATGTTCACAAGTACTCCATAGGGTCCTTGTGATTATAACAATAATTATTAGTATTTTACTATTATTATGCCTAGTTTAGAGATCAGGGAACTATAAAGAAACAGGGAACTCAAGTTGCTTTCTCATTGTGGTTCAACTATTATGTGGGAAATCTGAGAGCAAATCTGTTATCTCAGCTTGAAATGCGATAGCCACATGCTGTCCTGTGATTTTATAATGTAAAATTTTAACAAAAGTTTATTGTTCTAGATTTTACTAAAATTCTACTTATTACTGATACTAATTTATTTATTGTTCTCCAATGTTAGTACTGATGACACCCAATCAAAATTAATGTCCATCTTTCCCTTTATAATATGTCATGTAATGCTTGTTTTCATGGTTAGATTATAAAATCCTGAACAGAGACAGTCTCAGTTACTTATATTTTCCTCAGGACTTGGCAGAATGACCCAATTTGTGATTAATGAAATAAATAAGCATTGAATAAAAAGTAGATTGAGACATAAAATGCGTCAGCTAGAAGGGCAAGTTGGTGAGCTTTGAGGATAGTAGCTGGAGTTCAAACAACAATTCAAAAATAGGTAATGAGAGTTTGATTTATATGACACTGGTCAATGACGTGGGGACAAAATCAGTCAATAAATATTTAGTAAGGAGATATTACCCACCCCACAGTGTACCTTTTTTGCATCCTGTTAGGAAAACAAGAAATCTAGGTAAATTATATGTGTAGACAAAATACTAAGTGAATCTCTAAAAATTTACTCACACACACACATACACACACATGTATATGTGTAATTTATCACATCATGGGTTATCACTAACTGAATCTCTCATATATGTGTAATTATAGATTACATATATATTGTTCTTCATTGAAAAATTGGAATACTGATGAGAGCTCTTCAGCTTAGGCATAGATAATGTTTAAAAAGAACATTGTTAATACAGTCATCAATATTTTATGTGGTTGTATGCAAGATTTGTCCACACATGGTCTTCTGGATTCACGGAATGCAATTCTGATGATATCTCCCCAGGAAAAATTAGAGCATTATAAGCAAATATTAATAATTCTTTACGCTTTATGTTGAGTATTTTTGTTATATTTCATATATGTAATTTATTACAGATCAAATTAGTATTTATCCCATGATTGTGTATTATTTAGAAAAGTATTTGTAGAAAACTCAAACTATGAATTCATGCTTTCTTCAGGTATTTCCTCTCTTCTTTGCTCATGTCGGATTATTAGCTGCCTTTCTGAGTATTTGTTTATAACGCTAGTGGATCATAATGCAGTGGCTGTTCCTGACATCAGTGGCCCAGTTCATGCTGTTAATGTTCCCTACTCTTGTAAGATCCTATACTGCCCCTAAGGGCTGCCCCGCTAAATGCTCAGTGAAGACTGTTCAGCTAGTTTGCATTTAATATGTTTCTTCATTGAACAATTGGAATACTGATGAGATCTGTTAAGGCTTAGACTTAGATAATGTTTTAAAAGAACATTGTTAACACAGTCATCAATATTTTATGTGGTTGTATCAAAGATTTGTCCACACATGATCTGCTGGATTCATGGAATGCAATTCTGATGATATCTCCCCAGGAAAAAAATATATATCATTATAAACAAATATTAATAATGCTTTATGCTGAGTATTTTCATTCATTCATTCAAGTATAGCAAGCATTATGTAATACCTGTTATGCTAACATCAGGTTTCTAATAACAACTAGCGTTTGTGGTATTTGTAAGTGCCAAACACCTTAGAAATACTCTTCTCTGTATTTATACCATATACCTTCATCCACACACATTGTATTTTATAGATAACACACTTAATAATGTATTATTACATTTAAGTTACACAAAATTACATAGCTTTATACAAAATTGCATAGCTTTATTTTTAAGGGGCTACTAGGTGCCCAACCCTGTTCTACCTGTTGTGTATATAGCAGACAACAAAACAGATGAAAATCTCATCTTTGCGGATTTTGTTTTATGTTGGATAGAGACAGATAACAATCCAAAGCAACAAGAAAACACATAATCAAATCATGGCTGTCTTCAAATGTCACATTTTTGGTGTCCTCCTCTCAAAAACTACATTTACACTGACTGGAGAAAGGCACTGCTGCTGTCCTGTTTAATGAATTCCACAAGTTGTCAGTGATGAATACACATTTCATGTACTGGGTTGGGTGCAGTGTCAATAGTTCACTGGACAACATTCCTTCTAATTTTCTCTTTCTTAGAATACATTTTACTTTAGATTATCAGAGGAACCCCTTGGAATTAATATGTAATAAATATAGTTTGACAAAAATACCAGTTTGAATTAAAATATTGGAAATTTAAAGAATAATTGAAACTCTTTCCAAACTTTCCTAACCTTGAAAAGGAAACTGAGTTTGGAGAGGGCTCAAGAGAGAATGGAGGAAGAGGAAATATAGGCAGTTTGATGATATGATACCAAGTGTTTTTTATTTGTTTTGTTTGTTTTTAAGCAAGAGGGCAGTGGTAATAGGGAAGAAGGAGTAAGAAACAGGACCTATCCCAACTCAGGTCCTAGTTGTGGAAGAATATGATAAAAACATTCACCACTAGTGAGAGGGCTACAGAAAAATAGCATTTTCTGGGGTGAGCCAGATTTCTGGCAAAGGAAGAAGAAATCAATGGTCAATCAAGTATATACTATCTTATTTAATCTATTTAATCATTACAAAAATTTCACAAGCTGAATTTTATTATTATTCCTGTTTTTCAGATGTGGAAACAGAAGGTTAAAATTTCAAGCTATCTTGCTTAATTTCACACAAATCCTACATCTAACAGCCATAAAGATGGCTCAGGCACCTGGCTCATGCTGCCAAATCCTTTTTTTATTTTTGCAAGAAGAGTCAAGTAGAGGTTCTACCTTTTAAAAATATTTTAAAGTTTTTAACAATACTGTATTTGTTATCTTTATACCATAATGTTATTCATCAGGTTTCTAGAATTTTTATCTTTCATAACTAAATATCTACACATGTTGTTTAGCATATTCTCACTTCTCCCACTCTCCAACCCCTGGCACCATTCTATTCTTTCCCCTGGCACCAGTCTATTCTTTGCTTCTGTGAGTTTCACTACTTTAGATACTTTGTAGGATTGGTATCATGCAGTATGCAGTATTTGTTCTCTGTGACTGGCTTATTTTCCTTAGCATAATGTCTTCAAAGTTTATCCATGTTGTCAAATATTGCAGGATTTTCTTTCCGCCCTTTAAGACTGAATACTATTCCACTGTATGTATATACTGCATTCTCTTTATGTATTCATCTGTCAATGAAAAGTTAGGTTGTCTCCGCACCTTGGTTGTTGTGAATAGTGCTGCAGTAACATGGTAGTGCTAATATTTCTTTAAGATCCTGATTTCAGTTATTTTGGATGAATACCTAGAAGTAGGATTCATGGATCATATTGTAGTTCTATTTTCAGTTTATTAAAGAACTTGTTTTTCAGTTTTCCATAGCAGCTGCACCATATTGTATTCCCATCATGTATAGGAGTTCCAGTTTCTCCACATCCTTGCCAACACTTGTCTTTTGTTTTTGCTTTGTTTTTTATAATGGTCATCCTAGTAAGCATGAGGTGATATATCATTTTTGCATTTGTATCAGCATTCCTCTGATGATTAGTGCATTAAAAATTAAAAATAATTTCTGAAAGAAATTAATGAAAACAAGTGGAAAGACATCCTATGTTCACAGACTGGAAGACTCAATATTGTTAATACTGCCCTACTGATCCAATACAATCCCTATCATGCTGCCACACTCTTAATCATTGTATTTTAATACCTTAGTAATAAGTGGTGTAGGAATCACAAAAGTACAATGATGTGGGCCCCGCCCCCTGGAACTTTAGGAAAATGATGGAAGTTGTGATAAAATATTATTATATGTCTATTTCTCCAAAATATATTCATTAAATTTACCATATGACAGTTTTGTGCTAAGTTCTGGGGATAAAAATACAGTTGTCCCTCAATATCCTTGGGGCTTGGTTCCAGGACCTACCATAGGTACCAAAATCCATATATACTCAAGTCCTGCAGTTGGTTCTGTGAAAGTCAGCCTTTCATTTACGTGAGTTTTGTATTCTGAATACAGTGTTTTACACTGAGTCCAGGCTGCAGTTGAAAGAATGTTATTTATACTGCGAAAGTGGGAGTGTAGTAATAGTCTGTGTCACCTGCAATAGATTACAAAAAGATTTTAAGAATGAAATAGTTTTGAGGAACTATGATTCAAATCTTATAGTTTCATATAAACAAAGAAAAGAGAAACAGAGGATTAACATGCGATAAAACATGTAGTGTGTGAATATAAAATAAATATTTAAGGCATAGTAGTTAAGAGCATGAGCTTAGAAATCAGATAAAACATTTTCAAATCCTGAAAATATTAATGTATGATTTTTGATGAGTGGTCTCTAAGGCTCTGATCTCTATCCATAATCAAGAATAATAGTAACTTTCTCATTAGATTACTGTTAGGATTAACTAATGTTATGCAAGAAAATTGTGTAGTATATTTCTGGCATATAAGAAATGATAAATATATGTTAGTATGTTATAATAATATTTTCAATTTAAAGCATATTTAATGTTTCTTCATCATTAATCAATATTCCTTAATGTTTTCTTTGTCTAAAAACATTTACACACACATGCAAACATACACAAACCTGCACAATATATTGGCCACTTCTTTCTTAGAACACTCATAATACTTTCTACATACTTCATTCTGTGTGCTACAATTCTTCTTACAAATTTCTGTCCATCTTGTCTTTGATTTTCTCTGTTGCATTTTATTAAAGTATCTGGCAAATAATAGGAACTCAGCAACCACTTGGTATCTGTACTTTTATTTTTTTTAATTTTCTCTATCTCCTACAACTTTTTGTCTATTTTCTTAAATTCCTTCTTATAAATGCTTTTACTATTTTTCATTCGTGTGTGGGTGTTATTCTATCTCCATTCTTCATTTTCTTGTAATAGGTTTCATTCAAGTCTCTTCTATTCTCACTTTTCTATTTACCATTTCTCTCTCTCTCTCTGTCTCTCTCAGCAGTTGCTAAACTCTTGTCATCTCTCTACCACCGGCTAGCTAATTTAAATTCCAAAAATCCCAATAATTTTTGCATATCAACTGCTTCATTCCTAGGTATAAAGGAAAAATACACAGACATGCCAACCTACAAATTTTAAAATAGCAAGAAATGCATCTTTCATTTACTGAAAATTTTGTATCTAAGAGTTTTCTGAGTATAATACCAATATTTACATGCCCTAGTCATCCTGCCACAACAAAAACAGAAACTGGGTAATTTATAGATAACATAATGTATTTCTCACTGTTCTGGAGGCTGGAAGTCAAAGATCAAGGCACTGGTAAGTTCATTGTCTGGTGAGGACCTGGCCTCTGTTTCAAAGATGGTGCCTGTTGCCGCATCCTTTGGAGAAGACGAATGCTGTGTTCTCACATAGCAGAAGGGCAAAAGGGCCTAGTTAGTTCCCTTCAGCCCTTCTATAAGGTACAGAGTGCACAGCCCTCATGACATAATCACCTCCTAAGGGCCCAACCTCTTAATGTTGTTGCATTGATGTTTAAGTTTCAACATAAATTTTGGAGTGAGATGCAAATATTGAAACCATAATACAATGTTAAAAGATACATTATGAAAAATCTTTGCAAAGAAACTGTTATTCTGAATCTTTTTTTCTAGCCTTATCCCGTCATTAGAGACGTTCAATAGAATGAATGACTGGCCAATGATGGAATTGCTAAGACAAGTAACTGGAAGCTTAAGATAAAGTACTTTGAAAACAGAAAATGTTCAACCATGTTCTTAATACCAGAAGGAGTCAACTAAGAATAAATACTCTTTGTTGACCTTGAGTGAATATATTGTAATATGACATGTTGCAAGTTAAAGATTCCTAACATACTTTTATACAGTCAACAAATAGATGAATTTTTAAAAATTAATGCCTTAGAAGATGAAAAGCATATTCAGTAAGCTTTGAAAATAACTGGAACCCAGTCTATGATTGTAGGACATTTGGGTTTCAGTTATTTTCAAAGCTTACTGAATATGCTTTACATCTTCTAAGGCATTAATTTTTAAAAATTCATCTATTTGTTGACTATATAAAAGTATGTTAGGATTAAGAAAATGTGGCACATATACACCGTGGAATACTATGCAGCCATAAAAAAATGATGAGTTCATGTCCTTTGTAGGGACATGGATGAAATTGGAAATCATCATTCCCAGTAAACTTTCGCAAGGACAAAAAACCAAACACCACATGTTCTCACTCATAGGTGGGAATTGAACAATGAGAACACATGGACACAGGAAGGGGAACATCACACTCTGGGGACTGTTGTGGGGTGGGGGGAGGGGGGAGGGTTAGCATTAGGAGATATACCTAATGCTAAGTGACGAGTTAATGGGTGCAGCACACCAGCATGGCACATGTATACATATGTAACTAACCTGCACATTGTGCACATGTACCCTAAAACTTAAAGTATAATAATAATAAAATAAAATTTTAAAAAAAATGAACCAGAGCTAAGCCAAAAAAAAAAAAAAGAAAATAACTGAAACCCATCTAGTATTATATGTTTATGTGATTTAAAAGCCCAGATTTCAAATGGAATATTTTTCTGAATCTATATCAAATATTTTTCTGAATCTATACCAAATACATATTGCTCTAACAGAGAACAAAAGTATGTATTTTTTAAAAAAGTAACACTTTTTAAACAATTAAGGTCATATGAGAGCAACAGAAAAGTGTGTACAAAAGGCAAAATGATAATCTATCCTGGGAAAATATCAAAATAGACTCTCCTTTCACAGTACTATATGTATACCAACTTTGACAACACATGTGTTTGAATGTATTAGCAAATTATACTTATCAATAAGATTCTATTATTAACTTTCATTATATGCAAGTAGGAAGAAAACATATCTTTGCTTTCACTTCTGAAGTGCATTTAAGTATTTGGTGAGCATCCTTTCAGAGTTGAGGTTTAGAAATCGTTTTGAACAGGTTTAATATAAAAAGTCATTTGAGGAGACTCTTCTAAAATAAATGAAAAAACATATGTCAGAGTAGGTTCATCAAACTTTATGGCTGGGTGTGGTGGCTCACACCTGTAATCCCAGCACTTTGGGAGGCCAAGGTGGGCAGATTACCTGAGGTCAGGAGTTTGAGACCAGCCTGGCCAACATGGTGAAACCCCATCTCTACTAAAAGTACAAAAAAATTAGCTGGGCGTGCTGGCAGGCACCTGTAATCCCAGCTACTCGGGAGGCTGAGGCAGGAGAATCGCTTGAGCCCAGGAGGCGGAGGTTTCAGGAAGCCAAGACTGTGCCATTGCACTCCAGCCTGGGACAGAGAGCGAGATTCTGTCCCAAAAAATAAAACAAAACTAATTTTATCACCAATTTGCCTTCTTTACATTGGAGAGTTACAACAGACGTTTATAAAGAATAAACTTGGGTCAAAGTCATTTTAATAAAGACTGATACTTTTTATATAAATTATATTTTGGGCATTTATTACCAAATGTAAAACTTTTGTCCTTTTATTTATATTCAATAAATTTTCAATAACTATATAAGGTATAAAAAACAATGTAAAATAAACTGTAACCTCTAAACTGACCTAATAGATCATTTGGGGTATGGAATAGTCATAATGTCTTTAGTAAGAGAAACAGAATTTTCTGTAATTCATTGCATAGCTGATAATGCACATATAATATGCTGATATATTCATTGCTTTTGGTGACAGTTCATTTAATTATTTAGTCTTTCAACGTATTTTTTAAGGTCTCTACTATCTGCTAGATACTATGAAAGATAATGGGGCAAGGAGTTTATTCTAAATGGAGGGAATAATATATAAGCCTCCATGACCAGAAGTAAGCGAGGTGAGATCAAGTGTCTTGTCTTAGTCCATTTAGGTTGCTATAACATAGCACTATAAATTGATATAGACAGTTGCTATAAACATAACACTTTAAACTGCTTATAAGGAACAAAAAATTATTGTTCATAGTTCTGGAGGCTGGTAAATCTAAGTTCGAGGTGCTAGCAAATTTGATGTTTGGTGATGGCCTACTTCCTGATTCATTGACAGTGGTCTTTTCTCTGTGCTCTCACATGACAGAAGGCACAGACAGCTCTCGGGGCCTCTTATAAGGCATTAATCCCACTCATAAGGGCTGTGGTCTCATGACCTAATTATCTCCCAAAGAGCCCACCTCCTTATACCATCACGTTGGGGGGTTATATTTTAACATATGAATTATGGGTGGGGGGAGTTAAAATATTCAGACTATAGCAATATGAATAAAGGCCAATGTAAATCAAATGCTGATGAAACTGAGGAGGTATGTAGAGACCAAGGTTTGTTAGCCAATGATAATAATTTTAGTCTTCATTCTAAGTGAAACCATTAAAGTTTTTAAAGCTGGAACAGGACCAGTGGGGGCAGGGGAAGGGGGCAGAAATAGTAACATCATGATTCAATTTATTCTAAAACAGATCACTCGCTATAGTGAAGAGAGTGGATTTGTGTAAAGACTGAAGAAAACTAACATCAGAGGTGAAATAAACAGTTAGCAATATAGTCCAACGGAGAGATAATAGTAGTTTAAGCAGGTGGAAGTGGAGCTAGAGACAAGTGAAGAGATTGAAAAATAGATAAAGAAAAATGTGCATGCACACAGATACACACAGCAGTGTGTGTGTGTGTGTGTGTGTGTGGTGTTTGCATATGTGTACCTGTGTATGATTTATTGCAAATGGGGAGTGGAAGTGGAATAAAGGGAGGAAAAGTGGTATGTAATAAGGTAGAATAGGGCCATTCACTAATATAAACATCCTAAAGGGGCTACATTTAGAAGGGAGATCATCAGTTTAGTTGTAGGAAAACTTTGAGAAAGAAAGTAGTTAATTCAATAACTACTGGATCTAGATCTTAAAAATTTGTATCTCTTATCTGTTCCTGAATAAGTGGTGATTGTGATCAAGATAACTGAATAAGTGGTGATTGTGGTCAAGATAAGCATTTATAGAAGTGATTATTTTGTGCATTTCTTGGATTCTTCATGAAAACAAATGCAATTGTTTTATGATGATGTTCTTAGAAAAGCTTTATTTACACGTACACACACACAAAACTTTATTTCTAAATTATGTTTGTACTTTTAAAAAAATTTTAATTTTTATTATATTCATTTTGTTGAGACAGAAATGGCTCTATCGCCCAGGCTGGAGTGCAGTGGCACCATCTCGGCTTACCACAACCTCCGCCTCCTGGGTTCAAGTTATTCTCCTGCCTCAGCCTCCTGAGTAGCTGGGATTACAGGCACACATCACCATGCTCGGCTAATTTTTGTATTTTTAGTAGAGATGAGATTTCACCATGTCAGCCAGGCTGGTCTCCAACTCCTGACCTCAAGTGATCCACCTACCTCAGCCTCCCAAAGTGCTGGGGTTACAGGCTTGAGCCACTGAGCCTGGCCTGTTTGTACTTTTTAATATGTCACTAAGACTCTTAAAAAGGCATCGTGAAGAAGTGCACAACTGGCATTTTTTTTTTCTTTTTCTAATTCTTCCACTCTTCCTCTTATTCTGATTTTAGAACTCATATAAAATTCCTGTCATTTATAAGTAATTTCAAGAATAAGGAAGGAAAAAAGGAAACATCTGGAGGGAAAAGGTATATAAATTATGTAATCAAATATGTTTATTTTTCATAAAAATGTTTCAGTAAATGTCCTTATTCAAGCTACGCAGGGTGACATCACTTAGTATCTTTTTGTAGGTATTATATTATTTCATCTAAACATCAAGGAAAAAAATCATTGTTCAGTAAAACATTTAGGAATTTTATTAGTTCATTTATTTTACTAAGCTATATTTAACAAATAGAAAAGTATTAAAGGTACATACTTATATATCTCAAGTGTCTTTGAACCCATGATATTAAATTTTTGCAATAATAGTAAGTATTCCTAAATGTTTTGCCCTGATTTTCTAAAAAAAAAAAAATTATCAGGAAGGCAGAAAATTTCCAATTTTTACATTTTTTCTGATTTTATTTCTGTTTTCCTGTTAAAGAAATTATGTTTAAATATGCAAAATAACTTTATTATCAAATTACACATTCAGATGGAAGCAACATTAACTATAAATTATTTTTCTCAATTTTCTCATTTTGTTTTCTAACTGGTTTTTATTTATTTATTTAGAGACAGGGTCTTGCTATGTTGCCAGGCTGGAGTGCAGTGCTATTCACAGGTATGACCGTGATGCACTACAGCTTTGACCTCCTGGGCTCAAGTGATCTTCCTTCCTCAGCCTCCAGATCAGCTGGACTACAGGCATGCACCACCATGACCAGCTTTTAAAAATCTATCTATAATCACTAGGTATATTTTATTCAGTGCCATATATCAGGAAAGTACATTGTTTCATTAGTCTTTTTTGTTAAATAGTGATAGTTTCAGGTGACAGGGTTAATGTGTGGTTGGGTGGCTGCAGATACACACGAATCTATTTGAAAACCTCAGAATCATCAACATTAATCATGTTTCTTTTGGTGGTGTTCCCATATACATTTTGCGGATTTTACAGTATATGTTACCAGACTCTCAGAGGAATACTCCTATTTATTAGTTTTTGGCTACTTTATTCACTATTATAAACAACTCAATGTATTGAATATCTTTGTAGTGATGTCAAATATGTAACTGTTCTATTGCCTTATCATTTGGCATTAGTATCTTGTATTTAATTTATTAAAATAACCATTTTAAGTCAAATTATGGAGAAATAATCCTCAAACATGAATTTTAGAATGTAGTTTTCTCTCAAAAACTTAAACTTCTGAGACCTTTTTTTTTGCCTTTTAATGTAACAAAATGAAGAAATTTAGACTCGGCTCCAAGAAATACTTTATAACTCTTAACTCTCTGACCAAATAAGATTTTATATATCTAGGGCTAAAGAATATGTATGCCTCCTCATAGATTCTTCTGAGGTCATGTTTGTCTGAATCTCTTAAAATATTATTACAAACTTTGGAAGTTGAAAATAATATTAACTTTCAAAGTGGCAACATGTGTACAATGTAACAAATTTGGATTTATCGTTTATTTATAAGCATATATTTGGAATTTCAATTCTATAAGAAAACATCAAGCACAGCTATTAATTTTGGAGACATTAAGAATAGTACTCACCTGTGAATTTTACGTCCTTTTTACGGGATACAGGAGATAAAATTAAAGGGACAGTGGCTTGTTAAGGTAGGATATTGTTTATTATATCACTCTGTATATCATTGTGTACCCATAGTTTAGCTTCCACTTACAAGTGAGAACTTGAAGTATTTAGTTTTATATTCCTGACTTACTTCACTTAGAATAATGGCCTCCAGTTCCATCCAAGTTGCTGCAAAAAAAAACATAATTTCGTTATTTTTTATAGCTGAGCGGTGTTCCGTGGTGTCTATATACCATGTTTTCTTTATCCGCTCATTGGTTGGTGGACACTTAGATTGATTCCATATCTTTGCAGTCGTGAATTGTGTTGCAAATAAATGCGCATGTGTATGTGTCTTTTTTATATAATGATTTCTTTTTCTTTGAGTAGATACCTAGTAGTGGAATTGCTGGATCAAATGGTAGATCTACTTTAGTTCTTTGAGAAATAAATAAAAATTAAATAATAAAAGATAGGCTAGTTGACAAGTGTAAAAAATGGAAGCCAGGCACTATCTTAAATTCATTAGCTACTTTTTAAAATTGTTTTTATCTGGTTAAATTTTTGGCGAAGTACTTTAGGATTTTAGTTATTACTGAATGACTTAACTGAGTATAATGAGATATACTGTAGATACAGCAAAAATGTGGGAGATTTCTGAAGGGATATTTCTTACCTCAAATTCAAAACTTGAATTTTGAAAGAATAATCTTAATTGTAAATGTCTGTCAATTATTTGGGAGGCCATGGGTTTCTTTCTTTAACTTGTTTACTAGATTGTAATCAAATAAAAAAATGTAAAGGTAAAATACATACTTTCTCTCTGAGATTGGTACCCCAATCCAGTCTCATAATGTATATGTCTAAAATACATAGTTACAAAAAGCTGAAAATAAAGATCTTTTTTTTCATGAGACCATCAGTCATCAGGGTTCAAGCAGATCTTTTATGTTGTGCGAGTTACAAAATGTGACACAGGGTGGAGGGGGAGTCTCCCTGTTTCCATGAAGGACATAGAGAAAATCACGGTGTCTGTCTGGGATACAATTTCCTCATCTGTTATCTGAAGGAATTAATCTAAAGGAATTATTTTAAGAGACTGTACTAATTAGTCAAGTAGATCTGAGTATTGTCCACATAAAAGGTCTTCATCTGTTTCAGATGTTCTAACATTTAATATTGCTCATGCTGTCCACAGTACCAAATAGATTCAGACATGTTCTGAAACTTGATTGTTTCAGATTGATAAATACCATATTTATTGAGCTCATTAAAAACACTGGATAATTTTTATGCCCCTTGGGATAAACAGAATAATAACTCCCCAATTATTTCTATGTCCTAATTTCTGGAACTCGCAAATATGTTACATTACATAGCAAATGAGAATTTATTGAAGATAAAATTCACCAGTCAGCTGACCTGAAAAGATTATTTTGGAATATACAGGAAAGCTCAATACAATAATTAGAGTCCTTGAAAATGAAAGAGTAAAGCAGATAAGCTCAAAGTCTGAGGGAAATGTGACTATGGAATAAGTGCGTGTTGTGAGTGGTACTCAATTAACTGTTATTAACTGATAAAATTGAAGAAGAACCATGAGTCAAGGAACAGGGCTGTCTCCAGAAGCCGGAGCAGACAAATAAATGGATTTTCCTTTTGACCTACAGAAGGGATATAGTCCTGTCCACACCTCGATTTTAGGCTAATGAGACTGATGACTCACAGAACTATAAGGTAACAAATTAGTGTTATTTTAAGTCTGTGGTGATTGTTACCATAGTGATAGAAAACTAACACCTCTCTTATAGATTTTACAGCATAGTGAGGGATACTGACAAGAAAACTCATATATCTATCAAAATAGTGTTCCAAGAAGATGATGGGAGCTCAAAATAGGTAACTAAATCATTCTTCAGCTAGCCTCCCTGAATTGTTTTTTTTTTTTTTTTGAAGATTGATTCTTAGTTGAGTCTTGACTAGGAGTAGGACAGACAGAGGAATAGATATAGTGATACAGAGTAGAAAATTTTAGCTCAAAAAAGGAAAGAAGGTACGCTATGCCATAAAAGTTTGAAAGGCTTTTATATACTTGGGAGAATCACAACTTACTGACATCTTGTTTACTTATATTACATCATGAGTATGTCTCAATATGGCTATAGTTTGCCTTGATATGACGTTGTGTAAATCATTTGAAAATTTTGTTGTGTTTTCTAGTACTGGAAAATAATAGGGCAATGGTATATTGGAAATTAATGTTCTTATTTATAAGTTATAAAAATAAAGAATTTAACAATGTTATATTTTATAGATTTGGGATTGTTTGCCTCTTCTGTCATATCAGTCATTAGCTCTAGAAAGCTGACTGGGAATGCTATGCTGGTGACGTGACCTCCTGCCCATGTTCTTCTTTCAATTCTGCTCTTTCCCCTTCTTTCTGTTTGTACATTTCAGAGACCTAACCTAAAATCTTAAATCCACTTCATTTGCTATTATATGTGGCTTCTAGAAAATGTATTTATATGAAATTGTTTCATGGTTTGTCAACATCATTCATGACATTTATAAATTCATATTAGGAAGGAAAATGTGATATATGCAAATTAAATACAATTTAGTTTTACAGTATGCAGAAAAGAGACCTGAGACTGCTGCACTTAGAAACATCTGCTTACAAGATTGGCTCTTGTCTGGCCTATGGGAAAGTGATTATCTCTGAGGGTAAAGAGACAGGGGAATGGGAGAATAGAGACATGCAGATGAATATAGTTGGTAATACTCTAATTCTTGGTTTAAGCAAATTTTTAATATTCATTGCACTGTACAAATAAATACCATTAAGAAAAGCGCCATTTATTTGCTAATGGTGATGGTGCATCATAAACTGTTGATGATTAGTCTAATGTTTTACCTTTAAGTTCCAATTAAAATATTAATACTAGGAAAAAATAAAGGTTTTAGAAATGGATTAGTATTCAGTTTTTAGTATTACTGGATTAATGACTTCATGTCAATTATTAACGTTACTTACTTTTTTGAGCTTCTGTTTCTTTACTTCACAAATGATGATAGTGGCTGTCTTGTAATTTTTTTTTGAGAGAGGTTAGTCATTATTCCTGTTACCAAATATTTCTCGTTTTCTTTGCAGACACATGACAGGATTATACTTCTGTGTTTTTGTTTTTCAAGTGATATATGACCATAATATTTGTGATTAAAAGTGAACTCGTGGAGGTCACCTCTGAATGATAAATATAAGATCCAGTGTATCATTTATGATGTTTTTCTTCCCTCTTTTGAGTGTGTCATTATTAGCTCTGTCAACCTACATCCTTGAGTGAGTATAATAGCAGAACAATTTGGACATTGAGAGTGAATAACAATATATAATTTTTCTTATTTTAGGCTTCTGATGTTTTATATTTGTTACCATAACACATTATTGCCTATCCTAACTAATACAATTTTCATTAAATTAAAAGAGATAAAAGAATGCCAATTACCCAACACAATGCTTAATGTATTATATGTGATTAACAACTTAGAGTAGTTATATTACTGTGAACTTCACAATTTCCATGTAATAGAACTCTGGTAGAATACAAGATAAAATAGGTAAATTTTGGTGACAGTACAGATTGTAAAATTACACAGTGTATGAAATTATGTGTGTGCATATATATATATACATATATGAGATGAATTAAGGAAAATTAAACACGAATGTCACCATTTTTACATGGAGCTCTTTGTTTTACTCGAGTTTTTGAAGCAAATCTCAGCTAAATAAGCATGTATTTTACATAGGTCTCTAAAATAATTGCTTTCATTTTAGCTTTGACTTGACTGAGTCAAGAAAGCAAGTCCAGGAATGAATAAATTATTTATTTATTTATTTATTTATTTATTTATAGGAGACTATTTGTATACATTTCAAAAACAAGAAAAACTATATATCACGTAGGCATACTTTTATGTGTGATCTGTTTAAAGCAAGGAAAAAATAATCAAAATTCAGGAAGGTAATTAAATCTGGCTGTAAGACATCAATGATGAGTTTATGGCTTAAAAGCTCTGCTCTATAAATCATACATCTGAGCCTTACTGCTATCTTCCTAAAGAGGCCGTGTACACTTAGAAAATCACCTTTATAATATTATCTATTAAAAAAAGAAAATTCTGTTTTGGGCTTATAATCCAAGGCAGTGACAGCAGATATTATAAGGCATTTTAGGAGCATGGATAAGAATAAGCAGCAGTTTATAATTGTGAAGATGCCTAACTATGTGTCTTTTTTATTTATCTGAGGTTAAAATGCTTGTTTTAATATATTTACATCTGAAACAGTTGGAAGATAGTGTATACGCGCAAGCATCTTTAAAAGTAACTCTTGTTATCACCAAACTTATAAACAATATGTATAATTTTTTTCTCAGTCTCTTTTCCTTTTGTTGATTTTGCTTTCCATTCCTTTAGCGTCTTGTAAGAAAATTGCAGAGCCTGCCTCATATTCTAAAAGCATAGACATGCTTAGATTAATAAAGAAATAATTCTCCATTTCCAAAATGAAAATACATGTTTTAGATAAAATACAGTAAGTCCAGAGACTTATATGACCTCCAATAATTAAAATGAATAAAATATTATTCAGTTTTTCTAGTTACAACAAATTGTAACTGCTGCTGACTTCAAGAAAGGAACACTTTGAGACTTTAATTATTTCTAAAAATTGTTATTTGCTATAATGACATATGCAAAATATTTATAAGTATAGAAAGCAGTGCAATATTTTATAATTTACCTTATAAAAAGTTTCATCCTCTTGAAATGCAGTATTGTTTTTGGTAAGAATCAAGGGTGCTCCTGATACAAGTATAGAAAGCAGTGCAAGATTTTATAATTTACCATATAAAAAGTTTCATCTTCTTGAAATGCAGTATTGTTTTTGGTAAGAATCAAGGTTGCTCCTAATACAAGTTTTTCAGAGTTTAATTCAGTCATTTGGCTATGGACACAAGAAACCTGAAAGTAATGGAAGGTATTTATGAAGATAAGGATTGGCTCCAGTGGCCAGAAGGAGATTCATGGCTGGTGCATGGGCATCTTGGCATATCAGCTAATGCATGGGGTCATGAAAAGTTCTGGCTGATTTGTGTACAACCATGCTGTCAGAAGACATTTTCTCTAAAACACTCCTAATATGTGCCTAAACTCTTCTTATGATTTAGGTTTAGTTTTTCAGTTCTCCATGGTTATTGCAGAGAGATCTCTCCATAGAAAGTACATTCATTAGCATTGGGTTGGGGCGTAATTGATTTACAGGTAGATACTTTATATTTTCTGAAACCTTGGAGATTACGAAGACTCCCATTTCCCTCAGTGAGCCAGTGTTTGTGTGGGGAGGACATATTTACACTGTTTCTTTTTCATTTTACTTTTTGAATCTTCTTCACATCAAACCTTTTTTCCTCCAGTGTCCAGAAATTCTCCACTGTTAGGTACTCTGGGCTTTCACCTGTCTCCTCCTTGAACCTAGACATGGTCCACACAGTTCACTATTTTCCTTCTCTGCCTGAATAACGGGTAAAGCAACCAGCCTTCTTTATTTGATCTTTGACACTAGTGTTTCTTATTCTTTACAAAGCAAACTCTGCAACTTTCAGGTTCATGCAAATCTCCTTTCTAAATGATTAGGGCAACTTCTGAAAAGAACTAGAAAATAAGAAGGGAAAGATTTCTAGCTCTGCCTACAACCCAACATCCCTTGCATCTCACAAAAGGATATGCTTAAAACCCAAGGCATTCAGAAGAAAATCTCCAGTGGATGCCCCTTTACTCTTTAATTTGCTCCCTGACCTTCAGGATTATGCAGGCTCCCTTCTTCAGGTTACTCTGTTGAAAAAAATAAAATCATTTAACTCCTTCCACAGAAATGTGTCTCATTTACTTGGGCTTTTTTTCAGTCTCCGTATTCCATTATGGTTTTAGACCAAATGGAAATTTGAGTCAAGACTTCAGCTTTAATCTGCTAAACTGGAATTCTCTTTAGTTTACAATTTCATTTGTACAGGTAAGTATATACTTTTCTTTCATTGTTTCTTTTTAATATTCCCATTAGTGGGAATTCAGGCTATCTGTCTCTTACCTATCCTTGTTGACCTATTAATTATGCACATTTCCTCCTAAAACTACTGTTGCTATTTTTTTCTTGGAACTTCTTGTTCAAGTCCTTTGAGGTAGTATTCAGGTCTGACTTTAGAGTCTATGGAATATCTTAGCGTTTGAGAATTTTAGATGAGTGATTAATAGATCTGTGTGTTCACCTTTTGATCCAGTCTTGGGGCAGGTGCAGGTGCTTATGTTTTATGATCTTCTTCAGAATGGAAGAAGGAGGATGTCAGTGTCCCCTTATTCTTGAAACACATTTAATTTCCTTTTTAAAGTTATAAATATTGTTAATTAAAATTTTAGCAGGGGTAATTTTAATATGAATTTTTATTTTGAAATAAATTTAAATTTGCTGAAATGTTGCCAAGGTAATACAGAGTATCCCCATATGTTTCTCACACAGTTTCCCTTGATGTTTAATTTTTAACATTTATCATGCCAATCGAAGATTTATTTTATTTTATGTTTTATGCTTTCAACTGTTATTTTAGATTCAGGGGGCACATGTGCATGGTATATTGTGTGACACTGAGTTTTGGGGTATGATTGATCCCATCACTTAGATAGTGAGCATAGTACCTAGCAGGTATTTTTTCAGACCTTGACCCACTCCTACTCTTCCCTCTGTAGTAGTTCCCAGTGCTAGTGTTCCCATATTTATGTCCATGTGTACCCAATAATTAACTCCCACTTATAAGTGAGAACATGTAGTATTTGGTTTTTCTCTTCCTGTGTTAATTTTCTTAGGATAATGGTCTCCAGCTGCATCCATGTTGCTGTAAGGGACATGATTTCATTCTTGTTTTATGGCTGTGTAGTATTCCATGGTGTATATGTACTACATTTTCTTTATCCAATCTATGGACACTTAGGTTGATTCCATGTCTTGATGATAAGGTTTGGCTGTGTCCCCATCCAAAATCTCATTTTGAATTGTAATCCTTTTAATCCCCACGTGTCAAGGGAGAGACCAGGTGAAGGTAGTTGAATCACGGGGGCGGTTTCCCCTATGCTGTTCTCGCGAAGTGTGTGAGTTCTCATGAGACCTGATGGTTTTATAAGTGTATGGTGGTTCCTCCTGAGTTCATTCTCCTTCCTGCCTCCTTATGAAAAAGGTGCCTCGCTTCCCATTTGTCTTCTACCATAATTGTAAGTTTCCTGAAGCCTCCCCAGCTATGCTGAATTGTGAGTTAATTAAACCTTTTTCATTTATAAATTACCCAGTCTCAGGCAGTACTTTATAGCAGTGTGAAAACAGACTAATACACTTGGCTTTTGTGCATAGTGCTATGATGGAACACACAAAGTAATGTGTCCCTTTTTTGTAGGATGATTTATTTTCCTTAGTGTGTATCCCTAGTCACGTAAATGCTGGGTCTAACGGTAGTTCTGAGTTCTTTGGGAAATCTCCAAACTGCTTTCCACAGAGGCTGAACTAATTTACATTCAAACCTAGAGTGTATAACCATTCCCTTTTCTCCACAGCCTCAGCAACTGTGTTAGGCTGTTCTTGTATTACTATAAATAAATACCTGACATTGGGTAATTTTTTTAAAAAAGAGATTGAATTGGCTAATTGTTCTGCAGGCTGTACAGGAAGCACAGCACCAGCATCTACTCAGCTTCTAGGGAGGCCTCAGGTGAAAGGTAAAGCTGGAGCAAGGCTCTCACGTGGCAGAGTGGAAGCAAGAGAGAGGTGGGGAAGTGCCACACATTTTAAATGATAAATGATCAGATCTCATGAGAACTCACTCACTGTCATGAGGACAGCACCAAGCCATGAGGAATCAGCCTCCATAACCCAAACACACCTCCAAGCAGGTCCCACCTCCAACATCGGGGATTACAATTTTACATGAGATATTGTAGGGACATATATTCAAAGTATATCATCAACATCTGTTATTTTTTGACTTTTTAATAATAGCATTCCGATTGGTGTGAGACAGTATCTCATATTTGCTTTGATTTGTATTTCTCTGATACTTAGTGATGTAGAGGGTTTGTCATTTGTTTGTTGGCTGCTTGTAAGTCTTCCTTTGAGAACTGTCTCTTCATGTCCTCTGCTCACTTTTCAATGAGCTTATTTGTTTTTTCACTTTTGAATTGTTTAAGTTCCTTAGAGGCTCCGGATATTAGACTTCTGTAAGTTGCATAATTTATGAATATTTCCTTCCATTCCATAGGTTATCTGTTTACTCTGTTGATAGTTTATTTTGAGGTACAGAAGCTCTTTAGGGTCCCAACTGTCAATTTTTATTTTTTGTAATTTTTGTTTTTGCAATTACTTTTGAGGACTTACTCATAAATTCTTAGCCAAGGCTGATGTCCAGAATGCCATGTCCTAGGTTTTCTTCTAGCACTTTTATAGTTTTAGGTCTTATATTCATCTTAAGACAATTTTTGCCTGCGATGAAAGGCAAGGGTGCAGTTTCATTCTTCTGCATATGGCTAGCCAGTTAAACTAGCACCATTTATTGAATAGAAAGTCCTTTCTCCATTGCTAATTTTTGTCGAGTCTGTTGAAGATCAAATGGTTGTAAGTAAGCAGCCTTATTTCTGTTTTCTATTCTGTTTCATTGTTCTATGTGTTTGTTTTTGTGACAATACCATGCTGTTTTAGTTAAAGTAGCCTTATATACAATTTGAAAACAGGTAATGTGATGCCTCCAGCTTTCTTCTCTTCACTTAGTATTGCTTTAGCTATTCAAGCTCTTTTCTAGTTCCATATGAATTTTAGAAGACTTTCTTCTAGTTCTGGGAAAAACGTAGTCGGTAGATCCAGTTCATGAGCATGGAACATTTTCCCATTTGTTTCATCTATGATTTCATTCAGCAGTATTTTGTAATTCTCCTTCTAGAAATCTTTCATCTCCTTTGTTGGATGCATTCCTACTTAATTTTTTTTGTGGCTATTGTAAATGGGTTTTTGATCTTAATTTGGCTCCCAACTTGAACATTATTGGTGTATAGAAATGCTACTGATTTTTGTATGTGGATTTTGGATCCTGAAACTTTACTGCAGTTGCTAATCAATTCTAGGGGCCTTTTCAAAGAGTCTTTACAGTTTTCTAGGTACAGAATTATATCAGCACCAAAGAGAGTTAATTTGACTGCCTTTTTTCCTATTTAGATGCCTTGTATTTTTTTCTTTTGCCTGATTGCTCTGTCTAGGACTTCCAGTACTATGTTGAATAGGAATGGTGAAAGTGGGCATTATTGTCTTGCTCCAGTTCCCAAGGGGTATGCTTCCAGATTTTGTCCATTCAGTATGATTTTGCTCTAGGTTTGTCACACATGGTTCCTATCATTTTGAGGTATGTTTAATGCCTAGTTTGTTGTAGGTTTTTATCATAAAGAGATGTCGAATTTTATGAAAAGATTTATCTGAGTCTGTTGAAATAATGATATGGTTATTCAGTTTTGTTTTGTGTATGAGGTGAATCAAATTTATTGATTTGCGTATGTTGAACCAACTTTGCTTCCCAGGAATATAGCCTTCTTGATCATGGTGAATTAACTTTTTCATGTGCTTCTGGATTCTGTCAAATAACATTTTGCTTATCTTCTCTTGAATTCTGGGTTATTACATTTCTTCCTTTCTTCCTTTTTAAAAATACTTCTATAAAGTTCTTTAATGTTTAATTAAATGTAACACTCACAAATATTAGCTAACTTTTTTTAAGTAATTGCCTTATTGCCAAGTACAAAAATGATGTTTTCTCAGAGTTTTACTTAATAGTTTTGCACTCAAATTTTTTTTTTGTGTTGAAGCATATGCTTTCTTCCGGTGGAATAATAAGTACTGTAGCTAGATGAACATTATTCAGAAATTTAGCAATTTTGAGAATTCAACAAATTTGATAATTTTGTCATAAGCTTTCTAGGAATTTTGAATCTCATACCAAAAAAATTGTGTGTGTGTGTGTATTCTTTCCTGTTTGAGCTTCTCTTTTAAAGTAGGAGAAGTGCTCACTAATTAGTGTAAATTTTTGGTGTACCAAATATAGGCCATTCCTAACGAAAGCAAAGGAGAAATCAAAGAACTGAAATGGAAGTCTTGGTGAGAGCAGACATCATGTCAGCCACATTGTATTTATCAAATCCACTCATGAATGTGAGTCTAACATTCTCACCAACTCCAGTCATAACCAAACTGACTCAAGAACCATGTCATATTATTGATCTATCCTTTGCACCCAAAACAATACTTGACACATGAGAGGCATCAAGGGCAATTTGGTTACTCTACCATAAACTGATGAAAGACCTAAAGTAATTAATCACGTATAATAATTTTGCATCCGTATTTCAATTGATGCTTAAATTTAGACGAATTACTGGCATGACTTCTAAGATACCAGTAACATTATTTCCCACGTATTATCAAGTTTAAGGTTTGTCTGCTTCCCTGTACCTTTTAACTAAAGACCTGTAGAAATAAATTTAAGAAAATAATTGTGGTAAACAGGGTTTCTGTGATTTTAGAGACAATAAAGTGAGAGGAAAAGTCACTGAAAATCCAGAATAAGAGAAAGTCACATGAAAGATCAAGTTGGTAAATCTCTGGAAACTTCAAAAAATCAGGAAATATGTTAATCTATAATTTATGTGGGAAGAATATAAGGCCAACAGGGGACCTACATCTTCCTGCTTCTTCTCGTGCATGGTAACTCAGTGGATGTTGTGTGTTTAGCCATTCTTTGCTTTGCCCACACATTCAGTTTCTTGGGACTTCTACACCTGTTCCCTTGGTTCCTGTATCTAGTGCTAACTTATGAAAATACAGTTTAAATAAATGAGGACAGCATTAATTCATGAAAAAATTACTTAGCCTGTTACACATTTCAAATAAAGGCAGTAATCCTAGTATATTCCTCAAGAGGAAATATGAGAATTAAATAAGAAAAAGCTGCAAATACTAGCTCATTGCATGACAAATAGTAGCCTAGAGATATTAGTTATTATTAAGTTTCTTATGGCAAAGACTCTCTCCTTGACCAGACTTTAGTCAGGCTCCTCCGAGCATTTTTATTGACTGGGACTTAACCTTGGCCTGTGAGAACTGCAGATTCTCAGCATAAATGATTTTGTGCATGTCCCACACTAAGAGACTTGAACAAATTCTAGCACAGCTTTTTAACAGTTCAAGGCTGTGTCCCAGGTTAACAATCCCAGCCCACTTAAATGTCTACCTGACAAACATCAACATTGCTAAAATAAGTTAATGTTTGTTTCTGCCAAAACCTGGCTGTATTAGTCCATTTTCACACTGCTGATAAAGACATACCCAAGACTGGACAATTAACAAACGAAAGAAGTTTAATGGAAAACTCACAGTTCCACATGGCTGAGGAAGTCTCATAATTGTGGTGGAAGGCAAGGAGGAGCACGTCACATCTTATGTGGATGGCAGCAGGCAAAGAGAGAGTTTGTGCAGGCAAACTTCCATTTTTAAAACCATCAGATCTCGTGAGACCCATTCACTATCATGAGAACAGTACGGGAAAGATCTGCCCCCATGATTCAATCATCTCCCACCAGCTCCCTCCCAAAACACGTGGGAACTATGGGAGCTTCAAGATGAGATTTGGGTGGGGACACAGCCAAATCATACCATTCCACTTCCCAAATCTCATATTTCCACATTTCAAAACCAAATATGCCTTCCCGAGAGTCCCCCAGAGTCTCATTTCAGCATTAACTCAAAAGTCCACAGTCCAGAGTCTTATCCTAGACAAGGCAAGGGCCTTCTGCCTATGAGCCTGTAAAATCAAAAGCAAGTTACTTACTTCCTAGATACAATGCAGATACAGTCGTTGGGAAAATACAGCCATTCCAAATGGGAGAAATTTGCCGAAGCAAAGGGGCTACAGGCCCCATGTAAGTTGGAAATCCAGGGGGCAGTCAAACCTTAAAGCTCCAAAATCATCTCCTTTAAATCCATGTCTCACATCCAGGTCACACTGATGGAAGAGGTGAGTTCCCATGGTCTTGGGAAGCTCCATCCCTGTGGCTTTGCAGGCTACAGTCTCATTCCCAGCTGCTTTCATGGGCTGGTATTGAGTGTCTGCAGCTTTTCCAGGTGAACTGTGCAAGCTGTCAGTGGATCTACCATTCTGGGGTCTGGAGGACAGTGGCCCTTTTCTCACAGCTCTACTAGGCAGTGCCCCAATAGGGACTCTGTGTAGGGACTTCAACCCCACATTTCCCTTCTGCACTGCCCTAGGAGAGGTTCTCCATGAGGGCCAGGCCCCTGCAGCAAACTTCTGCCTGGACATCCAGGCATTTCCATATATTTTCTGAAATCTAGGCAGAGGTTCCCAAAACTCAATTCTTGACTTCTGTACACTTGCAGGCTCAACACCACGTGGAAACTGCCAAGGCTCAGGGCCTGCACCCTCTGAAGCCACAGCTCAAGCTCTAAATTGGCCCCTTTCACCCATGGCTGGAGTGGCTTGGAAGCAGGGCATCAGGTCCCTGGCTGCACACAGCAGGGGGACTTTGAGCCCTGCCCATGAAACCATTTTCTCCTAGTCTTCCAGGCCTGTGGTATAAGGGCCTGCTGTGAAGACCTCTGACAGGCCCTGGAGACATTTCCCCTATTGTGTTCCTTGTTACTACTGCAAATTTCTGCCGCCCGCTTGAATTTCTTCTCAGAAAATGGGATTTTCTTTTCTATCACATCATTAGGCTGCAAAATTTCTGAATATTCATGTTCTGCCTCCTTTGTAAAGCTGAATGCCTTTAACAGCACCCAAATCACCTCTTAAATGCTTTGCTGCTTAGAAATTTATTTTGCCACATATCCCTAAATCATCTCTCTCAAGTTCAAAGTTCCACAAATCTCTAAGGCAGGGGCAAAATGCTGCCAGTCTCTTTGCTAAAACATAACAGAAGTCACCTTTGCTCCAGTTTCCAACAAGTTCCTCATCTCCAACTGAGACCACCTCAGCCTGGATGTTATTGTTCATATCACTATCAGCATTTTTGTCAAAGCTATTCAACAAGTCTCTAGGGAGTTCCAAAATTTCCTACATTTTCCTCTCTTCTTCTGAGCCCTCTAAACTGTTCCAACCTCTGCCTGTTAGCCAGTTCCAAAGTTGTTTCCACATTTTCAGGTATCTTTTCAGCAAAGCTTCACTCTACTGGTACCAATTTACTGTATTAGTCTGTTTTCAAGCTGCTGATAAAGACATACCTGAGACTGAGCAATTTACAAAGGAAAAAAGTTTAATAGAGAACTCGCAGTTCCATGTGGCTGGGGAAGCCTCACAATCATGGTGGAAGGCAAGGAGGAGCAAGTGACATCTTACATGGATGGCAGCAGGCAAAGAGAGAGCTTGTGCAGGCAAACTCCCATTTTTAAAACCATCAGATCTCAGGAGACCCATTCACCATCATGAGAACAGCAGGAAAAGTCTCCCCCTCATAACTCAGTCATCTCCCACTGGGTCCCTCCCACAACACATGGGAATTATGGAAGCTACAAGATGAGATTTGGGTGGGGACACAGAACCAAACCATATCATTGGCTATGGGTCCCAGACTTCCCTTTTCTTAGAGAATTTACATTAGGAAACTTGTAGTCCTTTCCTTGTCGTTGTGAAATGTATCTGCAACTCAGGAATGTCTTTCTCAAGGACCTGGGAGACCTCCTTTTGAAATGTAACCATTGAGAAAGATAGGGCCTCTATTTCCCAGTCTCTGTGGTAAAGTAGGGACTTTATTTCTGTAAGTGCCAGTTAGCAAACACAACTGGGCTAATCACATTAAGCATCCACCTCAAAGTGCTTTGGTACTTTTGCTTTAGCACAGTGGTCCCCAGTCTTTTTGGCACCAGGGACCAGTTTCACTGAAGACAATTTTTCTACGGACCCAGTGGGGTGGGGGGATGATTTTAGGACAATTCAAGTGCATTACGTGTATTGTGTACTTTATTATCACATTGTAATATGTAATGAAATAATTATATAACTCACCATAATGTAGAATCAATGGGAGTCCTGAGCTTGTTTTCCTGCAACTAGACAATCCCACCTGGGTGATGGGAACATTGACAGATCACCAGGCATTAGATTCTCATTAGGAGCACGCAACCTAGACCCCTCATATGCACAGTTCACAATAAGGTTTGCACTACTATGAGAATCTAATACTGTGGCTTATCTGACAGGAGGTAGAGCTCAGGCAATAATGCCAGTGATGGGGAGCCACTGTAAATACAAAGTGTTACTTAGACTTGCTCACTCACCATTCGCCTCCTGCTATGCAGCCCAGTTCCTAACGGGCCACAGACCCATACTGGTCCATGGCCCAGGGATTGGGAACCCCTACTTTAGCATATTCCAGCATTTAAACAGCCTTCTGCCTTTTGTTTCATCAGAGCTGAACCCAGTTTCCACTGAAGTCTCTCTTCCCTACTGCAGTATCTTACTAAGATCTGTCTTGCTATTTTTAACAAGTGTCTGACTTTGTTTCTTTATGACACTTTTAATGTTCATAACTTGGGATCAGGTAACAAATTCAAGGCAATCAGTAGTTTTATATTTTGTAATATTTTTGCTACTAATTCTTTTAAACTCTAGACAAGTGGTTCTAAATATTTTCATCACACTTCCCTTTTCTTTTTTGTTCCTGCACTATAAACTGCAAATTTGAGAGATGGTATATGCCAAATTTCATTTAGAGCATTATAATTTATTTATTTATTTCTTTACCCTATTTTAAGTAGCCAAACACGTGTATAAGTACTTCGATGGAGAAACAATATTATAAAACTAATTAACATATTTCCGCATGAGCAAAAGTTGCCTTATCACCTTATGACTTTATAATCTAAACCCATGATTTTCTTTGGTTTTTGAAAAGATTTTTTAATGTATCAAACATGTACTCTCTGTTCTTTCCTTGTAATCACTACAGTTAATCTTGATAAATTAATTTCATATGATTTCATTTTAAAATATAGTATTTTGTATAGTCAATGTATAAACCATCAACAGTTTCCAAATCTTCCTGTTCATGACAACACAGATCAAAGCGAGTAGCTAATGGATCCTAGTAATAGTTATTAGTACATAACTAGTAGTCGACTATACCAGAGGTAAATGCTTTTACAGAGAATTGCTCATAAAAATTTTAATGGTTTGGAAACCAAATATCTTAGCTTCATCTTGATTAAGAAAATGAATTTTTAATGTGGTTTACATTTTAAATAATAAGGGTCAATTTATATAGTTTAGTGTTCCAAGCCAGAAGAGACTCGGCTTGAAGAGCCCAAAATATGGCATTATTTATTTCTCGCCAAAGAAATAGTTCAGTCAACATTTGTCTCTACTAATTAAGAATTAGCAGTAAAAATAACAATAACAATCAGTACCAATGTTAGAACATTCATATTTTTCTCAGCATGGTTCTATGCACATTATTTATAAAAATCCACTTAATCCTTTCATGTTATGAAGTAGATAGTATTATGTAAAAAAGTTAGTCAAATTTTAAAAAAAAGTCTTTTCATTATTAATAATAGTACTTATAAAATATATAAAAGGAACCACAATTTGACTTTTGTTTTTGGTTGTGTTAATTTGCATAACACTGTCTAGGCAAGATGGATGTATGCAGAGCTTCTGCCGCCAAAGGATCAGAGAAGACCAATAGACAGCCTAGGACAAGAGTTTTACTTCATTAATTGATGTCGTTTGCTTTGATGAGTAAGGCTGTAAGTAGTGATTTCAGGGCAAGAAGTCAGCGCAATGGTGGAAACTAGTCTACCTTGAATAGACAAATGGAAAGTCAGGCAGGGAAAGTAAAATCAATTGAACAAAACTGTGAATAATTAAGTTGATTGGATTGGACTTTATATGGAAGTAGTGGGAATCACATAGGCATTCAATCAAATAACTAACCTGAAGTGTGACATTTGAAGAAAACGTATCTGACATTAGTAGGCAAGGTGCAGCAGGTCTTGGGAGAATGAAAATAAAGAATCTGCTTTGAAACACATCATAAAGAAAGAGGAGGTTGTGAAAGACACTGATGGCAATAGAAACAGAAAGGAGCTCACAGACACGAGAGATAGTGTACAGGAAATAGCCACTGGATTAATGGTTTTTCCCACTGTAGTGGGAAAAATATATATATAATATAATTATATATAATATATATATAATTATATAATATATATTATATATAATATATAGAAAATATATATTATATAATATATATTATATATAATATATATTATATAGTATATATATAATTATATAATATATATTATATATATTATATATAATTATATATATTATATATTATATATATTATATATATATATACACACAGGTTACAATGATGTTTGACAGCAAGGGTTTGGAATAATGAGAAGAAATATTTAAAGTGGTTTGTAGAATAGGTTAAGAGGTTAAGAGGATTAGGACAAATGACATAAAACAAGCCAGAATGCCCTATCACCAGAACTCATGGAAAACAAAATTTAAATCTTGTCACCAATTATTGTATTTATCAAAGTCAAGGTCCTTTCCAGCGCTCAGCTTCCCTAGAACTACAGTGTTTCTTATCAGAGATAGGAAAAGCCAGGGAAGTCTGATATCTCACGGCTTCCCCTTACAATAGATAAACACACACACACACATAAATTTCCTCCGGTAGATACATAGAGCATCAACATTGACCTCCACACACCCCCTCACAGATTCAGACACTAAAATATCTCTTCCTATGACAGGGATGGTACTCCTTTACAGTCCATTTTTTCATCAAAGTATGTTCACCAGCCTTCCCCACAGACTCTCATTCTTACTATATATCACTCACCTTATAAGAAGAGCTGGTGATTTAGTAAGCACAGAAAACCACAAAGGAAACTTAAATTCTCATTCCTCAGTAATAACTCTAACTCAAAGTTTAAAAATGATTCTCCACTTTGCTAATTTAAAAAATACCTCTTCTTTCCTTTCTTTACAGCGTTTGACACTATCAACCAATCACCCTTTCTCTAATGTTTCTTCCCCTTTACAACATCGCTGACAAATACCGTTTCATTTTCTTTCCTGAAGAATATTTCTTCCCTTCTCTTTCTTCCTGCCCACATTTTTGCATTCATTATTTTCTGCGTGACTCTGTTTAATCACCAGTGAGTGATTCTAGCTAAAGGAGGATGAGATTGTGCGGAGAAAAATGGGATTTGAGGAGAAAATCTAAGGAGTTTAGAAGTAAAAACAATGCTGAAGGAGGGTACTTTTAAAAAGAGAAAACATAATGTTCCTTTTAGATTAAAACAATGAGAAAAATAGATAGAGACTATGTATTCAGAGGCAGAGAATTACACGGATTTTGGACATTTTATATTGTATGAAAAATTGAGTTATCTGCTTAAAACATCTGATTTTAAGAGGGTAAGACAATTCAGAACAACGGGACTCCAAGGCAGCTTGTATTTGGTGGTTTTAGTAAACTTAGTGTTTGCATATTTCATCTTTTCTTTCTCAGGCAAAGTAAACTTTTCTTAAAAAATAATCTTGAGGAGGTATGCAGAGATCAGCATATTTAATAAATTGAACCATTTAATATGCACTAGAGGATGTATTTTATTAATAATAGTAATTACTGTTGCTAGCATGGGGTTTGGAAGGTCACTAATCAATATATGTTCATTTACTTGAAATAAAATAATCCTAGCATTAATCCATTTTTGATGAATATTGCTTTGGTTAAGCAAATAATTACAACAAAATTTTGCATTTGTGAATGAATCAGCTTTATGTCCACTGGGCTTACTTAAAATGAACTACAAGTATATAATTTTAAATGAAAAATAATTTTCTCCACCTACACAGTACCTTAGGGAACAGAATATACTTAAGCTTGCTATTTTTGTGTCCTCCTAAAAAAGAATATATATTCTTCTCCATTGAATATTAGGAGATTGGATATTTTTGTTCTTACTTCTTTATTAAAATAGTAATAAATCTTCTTTTATGTTTCAGGAAAGCATGGTAGAGTGTTTTATACACAGCTTTTCAGTAAAGGGGAAAAAGGAGGTGTTGTATGGATAATATGTCCCTTAGAATGACAATGGAAACATAGACTGCCTCTTTTTCTCTTACACATTGCAATTCTATTGCAAAATACAGACAATCCTACAGGATGTACAGAAAACATATAAATAATAGAGTTTTACAGTAAAAGTTAGACTATTATGATTGTCATATACTACTAATAACAATTTCTGCCTAACTTTCTCAGTGGTATCTATCACAAAATGTATTGCTCAGCTTTCGCAAGAAACTAGGTGGTGAGACCATTCAGTGGTTTAAATGTGCTGATGCAGGCTGCTTTCTGAAGGTGCACTGGCACATTCAGTATCCTTGACCTTCAGTAAAGAGTAAAAAGAATCGGTTTTAGAAACCAACCCCTGTAATTTGTCTTACATGATCATTTCCCCTGAAAGCTTCATTTAGGCTCAGTTTCATTTATAAGACTAGAAATATTAGAATCTTTTTTATCTCAAATTCCCATCTGATATATTAAATCCATTGTATCAGATTTTTCCTATATGATATGTGACTGTATAATAATAAGATTGGTATTTTATCAATCTTTGCCTAATTTTCCCATTATGCTACAATCATATTATGGGTTCACAGTATTATTTTCCTGAAAAATTTATGTTTATATAAAATAAGTTATTGAGTTGGGGGTCAGCAAACTTTTTCTGTAAAGAACAAAGTAAATCTTTAGGGCTTTTGTGGGCCGCGTCATCTCTGCTGCAACGATTTAACTCTGGTTGTTGTAGTGTTAAAATAATCAACAATATATCTTTAAAAGGGGAACAAGATTGTGGACATTTAAATTTTATATAATTTTCCCATGTTAAGAAATATCTGTTTTTTTGATTTTTTCCCCAACTGTTTAAAAATGTCAAAACCATTCTTACCCTTTCAGCCTTACAAAAATCAGGTGTGGGTTGGATTTGTCCGGTGAGCTATAATTTGCCAACCCCTGTCTTGGATAACACAATCAGTGAACCTACTCTTAGAAGCCCAGTCCCAGATTTAGAACACAGATTAAGAACTTTAGAAGAATAGAAATAGGAAGTAGAAAAATAGTGTAAATTTGGTCCACACTATGATGGTTCTAGTGCGGCAGTCTAGAAAATTAAAGATGATAATTTTGTTAGAAGTGGAGTATAGCAGTAATGGTGGAAGCTAGGCACTTATCTTGAAGTCACTTTTGCAAAGTGAGCACATCTTATTTAATTTAGAGTACCTTTGGTGGGACCAAATCCCTCTGCTTAACATCTCTGCATTCCACCATTCCTCACTCCCAGTATTTACTGAAAACATGAACAATCTGTTACAAGATTACGCACAAAAAGAAAACTGAGGGAGAAAGGATGTGTTTCTCATCAGTATCACTAGATGTAATAATTATATTAAATTCTTCCTTCAGCCTTTGAGACTTATCTCAATGTCATTATGAAACCATACCTGTTTCTCTTGCCATTTCCTCTCTTATCCCAATCAATGAATTATCAACCCTTCTTCCTTAAATTACTTACTTTTTTTAAGTCTCTATTAACAGATGTTATCCCAGTCTGCCATGTGAGAGAATTGATGACTTCTTTAAAATCTCTTTGAAGTTAGGTTTTTGAGGAGGTAGAGTCTATATTAGTATCCTCACTAGTTTCTCCAGGAGGGGTCTTCAATTTCATTGTCTTTTATTTAACATTTTTTTTAAGTTAGATTAAACCTATAAAATAAAATGTAAGATGTTTTCAGGTTCTTAACTATTAATATTGAAGATCAGTGTTTGACTTTCCTTTCTCTATGCAAAAGGGAACATTTTGTTAAAAATAGAGCTAATGAGTAACATCATGAACTGAAATTTTAAAAATTCATGTACAAATTTTCTTTTAATGAAAACATCCATTTGATGCTTTGATATCCTCCTGGAGTGCCATTTTATCTGCAGATACAAATTTTTTTTTCCATATGGAATAACATGCTGCCGTTGTCTCTATATATAGCTATCTCTGTGTGTCTTCATATATTTTGCTCTATGGTGAGCTTATTTAGACACCAAAGTATTTATTAGTTTGTTAAGGCACATACTTTTGTAATAATATTTCAACATAATTAGTGATTCTAGAAATATATAACATGTAGCAAACTCATTATTGCTCCACTGGTGCCCACATAGCCACACACGCATATATACACACACTCAAGTAGATAACACAAATCTGTTAGTAGAATATGTATGTCTATTTACATACAGAGATTACTATTCAAACAATAATAATGATAATCTTTACAATCCTAGTAACTCACATTTGTTATATTCTTACTCTGTGCTATACATTATGCTAACCAAGCTACTTGCATGTTCTTATTTGGTGCTCACAGCAATCATGTTGATAAAACACAGCTTCATAATCATGTACCACTGCTGAGAATGAGTTTACCTGAAATATTTCCCCGGTTTTACATCATAATGTATGTTCCAGCATAAGGTTAGTAGTCTACTACTATCTGTATGTGGAAAGTGTTTTAAATGAGGAAGATAACTAAACCTAATAGGGCATTTGTAATAACCTAAGTATCACTTTAGGAAAGATATGTATGTTTATTGCTCCAGTTAAATAGATACTTATACTGTCATTTTAATAGGTGCATTTGAACCTCAAATACTCATGTACTTAATCTACATACTTTGTCTATAGAAAACAGGAGGTATCAAAATACATTACCTCTTCTCATATTATACTGACATGACAGAAGAACTTTAGAACATGCTAAATGGGAAGTAGAATTTATAGAAGAATTCCCCAGGCTTCTAATATATCTTGAAAACAAAGTTACAGTTGGGCTGAATACTCTCATTCTGTGACTCTTATTCCATTCTATATCCTCCTCTTTCTCCTATTCTTACTCTTACTCTTCTTCTTTTTTTTTTTTTTTGAAATGGAGTCTCACTCTGTCTCCCAGGATGGACTGCAGTGGCGATCTCAGCTCAGTGCGATCTCTGCCTCCCGGGTTCAAGAAATTCTCTGCCTCAGCCTCCCAAGTAGCTGAGATTATAGGTGCCCGCCACTATGCCTGACTAATTTTTTTTTTTTTTTTTTTTTGTATTTTTAGAGTTGGGGTTTCACCATCTTGGCCAGGTTGGTCTTGAACTCCTGACCTTGTGATCCTCCCACCTCGAATTACAGGCATGAGCCACCGTGCCTGGCCTTTTCTTTTCTTTTAAGCTACTTTTTAATATATAGTAATGACTGTTAATATAGTATATACTATGCTATTCATCAATGCTGTAACTTTCTTAGTTTCATTTTCTCACTCAATTGAAGTCCAGGTACCCAGGTCACAAAAATTTTAGCTGTATAGAAGACCTTATGATATAGTAATTTTCCATATACATATAGTAAAAGTGTATGTTCTCTTTATTGTATATTAACATAATTTACTTCTGAGTAAGATGGCTTTGAAAACACAATTTTACTATTATTCAAAAGCAGATTCACAAATAAGTTAGGTAATTACGAAAGTGCTACATTTTACATCTTACAAGATCTTACAAGATCTTAAAATTTGATCAGTTGGTTGCTCAATGGCTACCATCCCACTGGAAATAATCTACACAATATTCTTAGGACCCTGGTGATGTTTACCAAATAGTCATATTTTTAGGCCAGGTGCAGTGGCTCATGCCTGTAATCCCAGCATTTGGGAGGCCAAGGCTGGTGGATCATCTGAGGTCAGGAGTTCGAGACAGGCTGGCCAACATGGTGAAATCCAGTCTCTACTTAAAAAAATAAATAAATAAAAATTAAAAAATAAAAATAAAAACGTCATGTTTTTAAAGATACAATGAAATTCATGATAAACAACAGTGATCCTTAATGACATATCACTTATGAACTAGGTTTTCTTTTTTATGCTGAATTTAAACAAGTATTTGGGCTAGAAATGCCATTTTACAAAGAAGTTATAAGCTTCTAAATTATTAATTTTATTGTAAAAGCGGGCATCCAAAGAAATTAGTAACAAGAAGGAAGAATATATAATGCAATAAAATATAGCCTCCATGTAGCTGAAGACACATTAATGTCACCTAGTTAAACTTGTTATAAATACGTCTCTTGGGTTCCAGTTCCGAGGTACTCATAAGTCTGACTGGGTCTCAAAGTCGCCAACTAAACAAGTGTCTTTGGTGGCTGTGAGTCCAGTGGTATAATTCTCAACATGTACTTTGTATCAAAGTTAACTAGAGTTAATTTTTTAAAAAAATCAGAATTCTGTACCCAACCAAAAATATTTGATTCTGTATCTGGAAAGGTGTCTGGGAATCTGCATTTTAACAAGCACATCCTGTGATTACAGTTGGGGAGTCCACAAAATATACTTTGAAAAAATAGGACACACTTGCAATGGCTTCATTTAAATAACCCCAAACAGATGAAAAATTAAGGCCTCCAAAGAAGCAGTTCTATGATTTCACTGATTTAAAAGTTCCTCATCTGATTAGGAATATGTTCTTTATACCTGACCTAATTTTCCATAGAAAATCTAAGGACAGTAGCTTTTTCTTCAGTGTTCTTTCTGTATCTTCCAATTTTCTATAGTTTTTGCAGAGCTCTTCTTCATGCCTCCCTTTTATAAGTCCTTGAGTTCAGGATCAAACAGCAGAAACCTGAATGTTGATTCCACCCACAGATATAGTTTTGAGGGTTTTTTAAACTTTATTTTTAATTTTTTTCTTAGCCACTTTTTTGAATTGAACACATTTTTAAAGGCTTTGCACATTAAAATATCAAAATTTATTTCTACTCAAAAAAATGAGATAATTTGGTAATGCTGAGCCTGCTGTTGTCTACAGCAACAATTTCCAAGTATAGTCCACTGCCTTTAAACCGTGTGATATTTTTAGTTCACCAGTGTCTGTACCAATCCCTGTGATGCCACTGACATTAAGACTAAGTATCCATCGCCATTTTCCACTGGGAATATTTTTATTATTGAAAAACTTATCTCTGTATTTATGTTTCTATACCTAATAATAGATTATAAAATTTGACAGAAATACTACATATTTCAAGATAAATGGAGAAAGTTTTTCAGAAAATGAACAGTATTTTATGTTTATTTTGTAAATATGAAATGCTTCACACGTTGTTATTTGTATGTGTCTTATTTTGTCATTCCTAGTTTATGTGTGTTTTTCTCTCTCACTAGAATGAAAGTCTATGATGTTTTTATAGAGATAGACAGTGTCTTATTTGTCTCCGTGTCTCAAGTACCAAGGTAACTGTGATGTTCTTGGCATAGAATGGATGCACATATATGTATTTCATTGATTAATATTGCTTTTAAAAAACTATGAGTACTAGAGATTGCAAAATTCTAATCCATTTATTATTTTCTTGGACTTATTTCTTCAATCTATGCACATCCGTTGGATTAACTCTTGAATCTTCTAATTCCATTTCTTGCCCAATTCTACAATTTCCACACATTTCTGTTTAGTTCCAGAAACACAGAATTAAAAAATCTACTGAGTATACTTCTATACAAAACATTGTATCTGGTAAAGAAGAATTATGCCCAACATACTCTAGCCTTATGGCTGCCAATAGAAATAACCCCCTTCTATTTTCTACTGTATAAACTCAATTTGTATCGCTTTACCACTTATTTAATGCGTGTTTATTCTCAATTCATAATATGTATTATCTCGCCTGAGGTATAGTTATTATTTTAGGTAATAGCTACCTTTCAGCGTACTTTATCCCTTAACTTTAGAAAGTATGATGAACATTTAGACAACATTGTGTGAATGGGTAAATACCTATCCAACATTCAATAAAAAATAAATTAAAATCCAAGCCCAAATCAGAAATAGCAAAAACAATTACCATTTACTGAGTACTTAGCATATCTTATACATATCATATATTAGCCATTTGACAAATGCAATTCTGCCTTATATCTCATCTGATCCTCATCACAACTATTAGAAACTCTAGATTAAAAATATAGATTCAAGGAAGAGGTAATAAGTAGCAGAGCCCAGAATGAAAAGGCAGACTCTTTGATCCCAAACCCTTGTTCCACACACAGGAGTATGCAAGTGGAACTTTGACTCTTGGTGGGAATTTCTGTGGACAAGCACGAGAAAAGTAACAAAACTACAAGAAGAAAGTAGAATGACAATAGCACCCTGACCAGAAGCTTATTTGTAGTGACAGAGCACTTCATTAGTGTTTATTATGTTTAAACATTTAATAATTAGGTCAGATGGTACAAATACAATTGTAATATAAAATTATAGTTTTGCAGTTACTTTGGTCATGAAAATTATTCAAGTTTAAATTGCTAAAACTTCCAAAGGGATAAAGTACTTGACTTTGAAAAGCTTTAATTTTTAAGCCATTAAAATTCCTTTAATGAGCAATATTGCCTCAACAATAACCCCTTAAAGTGAACAAAACTTTCAGCATTTTCAACTGCTTTTACCTCTCTCATTTGTTTTAAAATTTCTTGGAACAAATAAAATAGCGGAGATTTGATACTGGCAGGAAGTTGTGAAATGCTTGAATGATCCAACAGATGGTGAAACTCAAAATCTCTTCTGGCCTCTCAGCCCTCTAGGCTAGTGTTGGCTCAGCATTTTTATTTCCACATTTGAGATATTTTAGGATTTTTATTGTTATACTAATATATAATTACAATTATGTGCATATAGGTCTAGTGTATATGCATATATGGGTGTATATATATGCTCATATGCATGTATGTTGCTATGCATTGTTTACTAATTCTCTTGCTAATGATTTTTTATCCACTTTGTCTTTATATAGCATTAGTTTTATTAAGAAACAGTTATCTTTATTAAGAAAATAATAAACTATTCAATGGAAAACTATATAATTTTAAATTTGGAAGTGGTCTGGGAGTTCGTTGTCTCCTGCCATTATAGCACTAATTTATAAAATACTCATGAAAACTCATCCAAGGTTGAGGAGCTAACAAATTTGGATTATTGTTTTCTCGTGGGTGCCGGATAGTTCACAATAATCAATGAAACCATTTGCCACTTTGATTTTTTGTGTGTGTTTTTGTTGTTGTTGTTGTTCTGGTGCATGATTAGAATAAAGCTTCTGCCAATCTTTTCCCCTTTTAATACCAGTTAATCTGCTGAAATGTTAAAATTATTCTGAATTTGCTTAATTGTCTTCAGATTGTTCAAAAAATCATTATGTACACAGAGACCCTTCACCACATTTGTCAGAGACCCTACTCTACATTTCTTTCACCTCCCTAGCCTCAATTACCTTGTGCATATGTGTATGTGTGTGAGTGTGTGTGTGTGTGTGTGTATGTGTGTGTGAGAGAGAGACAAAAGAGAGACTGAAGCTTTTTATATTTCATCTTGAAATTGTGATGGAACATGTTTCCCTGTTACTTATGCCACAAAGTGAATCATATTTGCTGAATTTAATAACTCAATGACTCAGCAAATATGATTTATTGAACTTCCTGAACAATTGTCTTTCTTTTCCTCATTCACATTCTCTACAAATTTTAAGCCTTGCTGTTTGAGAGTGATAAAGTTTCTTTCTCTTCATTTTAGAAAAACATAGCATTGCTGTGTTTCTAAGGCATACTTTAGAAAGTGAAGTCCTTCTAAATTGTACTTTCTAAAGTGAACTCTTTCACTCTCTAAAGCGTGCTTTAAAAACATAGCAATGCCGTGTTTCCCTAAAATGGGCATTGTAAAATATAAATATTGTTTCTAGCCCTGAATCGGTATTTTTGTCTAACCTTCCATATTTCCTTAGTTTTCCCAAATATTGTCATCTACTGAAGTTAAAATGTAAAATTATGCCATGCCTCTTTATCCTACCCTCTTTTAAGTTATAAAGAGCTAGAGTTTCATTTATTATCTTATGTATTCATCTATTCATGCTATTGCCTTAAAATTTATTTTAAAAATATTAAAAACATAAATATTAAGATGGACATTGCAAAGTAAATCTGACCAGGTACGATAAGAAACTTACTTGGAACTTACAAAGTCTATTCCAATAGGTTTTATACTGTGTAAATTAATAAATTATGTCCCATTTTAGTATAATTGTTACCCAATTGTTAGGTCACACAAGACATAATACTAAATTATATTTCTGCAACCAGTTTTATTTTTCTTATATAAGTAAGTCGAGGCAAAATTTTTATAACATAGTTTAGAATATAAAAAGAGCCACACACAATATATTCTGCAGTTTGTTTTTCAAACTTTTAGATTATGTTTTTCTGTAAAGTTGCCATCTTGACTTTGCTGGTTATATCTCTAAGTAAGTGTCATTTATGCCTCCAGTCCACCTAGATCCAAAATTTATCTACATAATTAAAAATTAATCATTTTATTTAGAGAAAAAACACTTATTTAAGTTTAACAATGCAAAGAAAAAAGATTTTATGTTGGTGATCCTTTTATCTTAGTGAATAGCTGAGGTTAAGATACTGAACCTTTTCATGCCACTCTGTGTAGTGCCAATTGTTAATTCAATTTATTTTAATAAATATATGTGTACAGAGCTTTAGAGATATGTCCCTTATTTCACTATGCACAAAATGTGCTCACAAGAAAGGTGGTTTTGTTAAGCTGAGAATTTCTGATTTTATTTCATTTGTTCATTTCATTTTATTGTTTGCCTCTTTTACTTTTAGGGTTATACAATTATTCAACTCTGTTTAAAAAGTGATGTGTTATGCTACCACTCTGCCAAAGCCACTAGAACTATTTTGTAGAAATAACCAGAAGGTTCAAAGACACATATACCTTAAGAAACGAAATTTAACAAATGAGATGGACCTTATTATTTATTAACTTCAGTGTTGTGTTTGTTTTTGTATTTATTCACTCTATACTCTTTGAACAATAGAAGAGGAACAACATGAAAGAGGAGATATTAATCATTCATACAATCATACAATTTGTTTTTTGTCATTTTTCTTCATTCTCTCAGAAAGTGTTGAAGACAAAACAAGTAGGAATATGGTGAAACAAGGAAGACTGACTTAGACAGATGAGAAATACAGAAAGCTGATGATGCTGGTTTAGTAGGCTGTTTACAGAGCTGTTTTGGATAAAAGGTCTGGACTAACCCTAAGGTGCCTTGATTAAATGCAGAGTAATTACATCTTGATTTGGTTGCTCTCTTATATTTATCTTCTTGTCTCTCTAGATATGTAGCTGCCTCATATGTTCTGTCACTGTGCAAAAGGGACCAGACTCTTTGAATTCTGTTCTCCTTAACATGTGTGATTCCTATTGGCTAGTGGGCCATTATCTCAGCTTAAAGAGTCAGCTGTTGATCTAATTATCCGAACAAAACAATTCTCCCTAGATATGAATAAACTTAAGCTTATAGTGGGAATATTTATTTTAAAAAGGATTTTTACAGCACATGCTAACAGAATTCTAAAGTAATCAGAGGTGACGATATTGAGAATATGTGCTTCTGTGTCCTTCATTTCTGTTTTAATTATTCTAATCCAATTCACTTAAATTATCAGGGAGGTTTTTTTTAAAAAAATAAAAACATCAATATTACTGATACATATCTTTGCTTCTCTGTTAAATTTTGCAAGGGGACTCCATAGTGTTTAAAGACACATAACTTGGCAAGAAAATGGGAGTTAGCATAGATAATTATAAATACTCAACAGTTATTAAAATCTTTTCAATTGTAAGAAAAAAATGCTAAACTGTGTTTATTTCCTTTTGAGTTTTGTGGACTATATTGTGTTACTCATGTCTTTCATTTGTGGTATTTAAGACATTTATATATTTAATGAAATATTTGCAAAGATATGTTGTTCTGTGCTGGAGGAATGTTACTAGTATAAGAAGCAAATAACACTGACCAAAATAAGCAATAAAATGAAACAAAAGAAAATAAAAATATGAATTTTGTATGTATTTCTCAAGTACTACCAGCAGATAGATGCATTGTTCCAGGGTACACCTTTTTCATTTCTTTGTCATTTGTTGACTTCAGAGACAAAAGCTGATCCATTAACTCATTCTCTTTAAACCAACTTATCTTCAGAATATCTTCTCCCTGATCTACTCTTATTCTTCTATTCTCCTTTTATTATTATTTTTATTATTATAGAAACCCAAAAGAACTAGCACAGCAAAACAGAACTCTACTGAAAAGACAAAAATATATAATGACTAAGTAGTCTAAGACAGAATATTCATAGAAAGCAGGAGAGAAAAGCCAGGGATTGTTTTGTCTAGCCTCAGATATTACGGAAGGACAAGTACACATTTAACTCTATAGATTTTTGAATCAACACAGTCCTGTGTTTGAATCCTCCTCTGCCATAAACTAGCTATGTGATCTTGGAAATATTAGTTAACCTCTTGAAATTGAGTTTTGCTTATGTTATAAAATGGTTAAAACGTACCTATCTCATGGGATTGGTGTAAATGGAATGAGATAATGTGGCTAAACTATTTAGACAGTGCCTTGTACTAAACAATATAAGAAAATATTTGTGAGATTCCAAGCATGTTAAAGGTAAGATCAAGGGTTAAAACCATTGGACAAATCCAAGCCAGTAGTTTTGTAAGGCATAAGAGCTAATAGATAGTATTTCTGAGGTGAAATACTATATTTGAAAAAATCGAGATCTGCACCAGTAAACAAAGCCTCTTTACCTTCCAAGAGTATGAGCTCAACAGCTATATTCACATCCCCTAAGAGGAAGAGTTAGTGACAATCAAATTGACAGAATAGGATGAACCTAAAGGTAACAACTAACAATTTTTGATGGCTATTTTACCCATGAAAAACCATCAGTATTGTTAATAAAAGTATCAAGAAATACAAATGAATTTAATGTTTTATTTTACATTAGAGAAACTATTTTAATGACATAAATATATGAACATAATTGAACTGCATATAAAGTGTTAAACCAATATTTAGCTATCTAATGTATTATAAATAGCCCTGCCTTCACATACATTTCCTCTAGGGAAAAAAATAGAATCATTTACTTTCTATAGATATTTAGTGTTCTTCAAAGTATCTTTGTTATTAAATTAATTTGGGAGAGGGAGGTGGTTAAGAAAACATTGCTTTACACCAGTACATATAACTATGTGATTTATAATAAATGCAACCACAGTGGCAGTATATTTTCTGGATGTTAATAGCCTGAAATCCCTTTCAGTAGCAGCATTAATCAGTCAAGGATGGGTTATTTTATGGTCTTTAATGGCCTTTGTTGATAGATGGAGATTTTGTTTACAGATTATTCTTCATTGAAGCACCATAGATTGCAAGCTATGATTCTTAAGAGATATTCTCAAAACATAAATTATGCTGCTAAGAAATCTGTTCAGAGCTAAATTAAATTAGATAGCTGCATTTTTTATGAAGCATAGGTAATGGAGCAGTATACTACAAATGCCTTTTCCTGAGACATTGGTGTGGAATATCTTTAACACAGAATTTTTTCCTAAGAAACATTCCTTTACTTGTGTGCAAGTTTATGAGCCTACATGTTCCTCTCCTGAGTAATTTATGTAGAATACATAACATTTGAAATGTATTTATGATATTTGACTATTATAATGAATATCTGCCTTCAGGTCAGACATTACCAAAAATTTTCATTTTTAAAAAATGAGCAAAAACAGTAGTGCTCATTTATATTTTCCAAATGTCTTCATAATTGAGTATACTGACAATTCAATAGTCAAATTTTAATAATTGTTGCAGTCAACGTTTTGTTTCACATTGAATAATTTTTTATTGTACCTTTCAGGGAAACATTATTCGTGCGCTTGTAGTGCGTGATTATCATTCATGTTGCTTCTAATAATATTTTGCTCACATACATCTTATAGATTGAGTACAGAGTCTAAAAATTTGGGTATGATTATACTACTTCAGAATATATTTTCATTTCCCAAATGTTATTGACTCTTAAAATTTCTAGCTAGGGACTGATTTTTTTTTCTCATTTCTTCTTCTTCTTCTTTTTTTAATGGAGAATAATATAATAGCTGTGGAAAACAAATGACTGTATTTTACTAAACTACACTAAACAAGCCAAGACACCCTTAATTTAATTCAATGTGAAAGTCAGAATTGTAAGAGAGCATAAATCTTGACTTCTTGACGAATATTACCAGACTAAGTCACATCATTTTGTTTGATGACTTTCTCCTTTTTGTATTTTTTATTTTGTTAAGAGAGGGTCTCTGTCACCCAGGCTGGAGTGCAGTGGCATGATCACAGATCACTGCAGCCTAGATATCCTGGGTTCAATCTATCCGCCCACCTCAGCCTCCAGAGTAGCTGAAACTATAGGCGTGTGTCACCACACCCAGATAATTATTATTATTATTATCTGTAGTGATGAGGTTTCACTAAACTGCCCAGGCGGGTCTCAAACTCCCGAGTTGAAGCGTTTCTCCCACATCAGCCTCTCTAAGTGGCTGGACTATAGGTGTACCCCACCATGTCCGCTATTTTTTCTTTTTTTTTTTTGGTAGAGATAAGTTTTTGTCATGTTGCCCATGCTCGTCCTAAACTCCTGGGCTCAAGCAATCCAGCCACCTCGGCCTCCCACAGTGCTGGGATTACAGTTGTGAGCCACCACACCTGGCCTCTCCTTTTATTGAGCGAAGTGTTTGCATACAAATCCCCTGGGATTTTTTTGCTCGGAAATCCCCTCAGGGCTATGCCTAGTCCTCTTTTTGGCTCTATCACTTTTACTGTATTTGTCAAAGAAAAGTATTTCAAGTTAAAATATTATTTTGAAAAATTCCTTATGTGTGCAAGTCTTCTCACAATAACCAAAATGATGTAGGCAAAGCCTTTCCAAAGTGCGGAAGTATTAGGTTGGTGCAAAAGTAATCACAGTTTTTGACATTACTTTCAAAGACAAAAACTGTAATTACTTTTGGACCAACCTAATAGCCTGATTAGCAGTGTCTTGCTCACAGTAGGCCTCATGGCATCATATCTCTTCCTTACCATCATTCTTCATATATCTATAAAAATTCTTTGTAGTAGACAGTAAAAGCCTTAAAGTTACCATTGATTTATTGAGCAATCTAATATTTTTTCTAATAAATATATTAAGATAATATAAATTTTAAAATCTCCATTACCCTCTAGTCTATTATATTTTCTTACTGATTGAATCGTTATGCTAAGGCAATTCTAATCGTAAGGACTATGGGTTGATTTCTACTCTTAACCTGAAACAAGAATAAATTTGTCATGCAGACAAATTTGCATAATGTTCAAAACATAAACATATGCCAGGAATTGAGAGGTCTCTGAGGGCAGGGACCTGGATTTCCTGTATGCCTTTCCTTCTCTTCTCTCTAGTCTACTGCCATTCTTTAATATTTTTCCATATTTAATAATGCCACATGTTATCATATATTGGGTAGTGGGCAGGGATATGGAGAAAATCATATTTTTGCCCCAGAATCCTCTACCAAGAATATTATTAAATTTAGAAGATTTTATATCACATTATTGTTTACCACATTTATTGCACATAAACTCAATTTTAAATCTTATAATTATCTTTTGACTAGTTCAGATATATTTAATTATTGTATTTTCTTTATGTAAAAAGTATTGTTATTAAATGTAAACATATAAAACAACTCATTTTCACAAATAATTTTTAGCATTTTAATTTTTTAAAATTGCAATAAATATTAAGTATAAGTTACTTTGACAACTAAAAGACCTTTATTACTTATGTTAATAAATCTTTCTAGCCACCTGAAATTAGTATATCTTTTCAAAAAATTCACTATATTTTTATGTGTATTTGCAGCCACTCACCATTTAGCCTTTGTTTTATGACTCTAGGGAATTCTTCATTAAAAGCTTTAGAATAGTCAGAATGTGAAACAGAAGACAGATCTATATAAGGCTCTTCCTCTCTCATCCTTCTGTTAGGAATTCTGCCACACTTTTGGTTTCTGATGGGTTTGATGTGACTTGGCCTTAAGTTTGGGCCATCCTTTAAACAATTAATCTGTGTTCTCTGCCACATGCTTCCAAACAAGTGTAGCTTGACTTCTTATCTTTTATGATATCTGAAAACCCTTCAGCCTACAGAGACACATACACTTAGTCTTTTGGTTGCTGATTCCAGTTGAGGACAATACTAATTTTTCTAGCCTGCATCCGAACTGGCATCTTTCCACAATCTTGATCCTGACCCATTGCTTCCATGTCCAAGACAGCACAAAATTCTAAAATTTTTATTTTGTTTTATTTAGTTTCCTTCTCTCTTTCTGATAGCAAGAAGGACACAAACTAGAGAAGCATCTTTGGGCAGTATGTGAAGCCTGCTCAAAGGAGTTGTAATCATTCTCATATATCTCAAAACTGAAGATAATTCTTGTCCTCTATGAAGGGTTTCTAGTAGCTGCTTTGAGAGTTCTTAGTTTCCTTTCTTTGTATTCTCATCCATGGCAGACATTCTTTGGCAGCAATTCTCACCTCTCAGGAAATAGAATCATCACTACTGTGGCCAGCTACTACAGACAAACTAAGGTACATTGAGAAAAAATGCCCAAACAAATGGGTTCTTCCCATATCTCCTCCACTTCACCTCCTCATTCACCAACTAGCTACAACAACAAAGCCCAGTTCCCAGATTCTCTATGAAAGAAGTTAGACTACAAATCAAGCATTCTAAGTTTTCTAGCTCCTACCTGAGGTCTGGCTTCTAACTCACTGTCTATGAGAGCTATTGGTGTTGCCATTCACTATTTACATGTGGGCTATAGAAAACAAAGCAGCCATTTTAAACAGGCATGTGGATATTTCCACAAATTCTCCCACTTGCTCACTCTAATGATAAAAGCAAGCCTCTAGCTTCAGTCTGGAAGGAATTTATCTACATATCTATCCCCTTAACTTTTCCAGCTGCTACCTGAGGAACTAGCTTTCAACTGACGTGTCTATGAGAACTAATGGAGATCAGCATCCATTAGGCCCATGGAGGCTACAGAGATCAAAGCAACAGTTTGAAAAAGTCTGTGGTTTGAATGAGCTTGCAAACATTTGCCATAGTTCTTTTCCCCAGCTCAGTTCAGCATGAGCAGATTATACACCCAGCTTTTCCCTGAGGAGAGAAGAAATTGGAAAATCCAGTTAGTGCCCCAACATTTATGGTTACTACTAAAAAGGATCAGTATCTCACCTGTTTCAGGGCAATGATGAGAGCTGGCATACTCTGGACACCCAGAGACCACTGAAAGCAGCAAAAGAAAAACAACTTGTTATGTGTTAGGGAACCCTCCTATGATCATTGGTGGATTTTCAGCAGAAACTTTGGAGGCCAGAAGGGAGTTGGATGATACATTTAAAATGCGGAAACAAACAAACAAATACACAACTGCCAATCAAAACAGTATACCCAGAAAATTATCCTTTAAAACTTAAGACAAAATTAAAAAAATCGAAAGCTGAGGGAGTTTATTGCCACTAGACTTGTCATATAAAAAATGCTAAAGGGAGTACTTTAAGTTGAAATCAAAGGATGCTAAATAACAATATAAGAGCATACAAAAGTATAAAACTCATCGGTAATGGTAAATTTATAGAGGCAAATAAAAAATACTATATTATTGTGGTTGTGGTAGGTAAATCACTTTTAATTCTAATCTAAAATTTAAAAAAGTATTAAATATAGGTATAACTAAAATTACATTAATAGATACACATGTTAAGATATGTAAATTCTGATATCAATAATCTATAATGGGAACAAGGTAAAAATGTGAAGTTTTTGTGTGGAAGAGAAGTTATCAGTTTTAGATTATTATAATTATATTTTATGTAAGACTCATGTCATTCACACAGAAAATAGCCATAGTACTTAAAAAAGAAAATCTACTACCTACAGTAGTTAAAAAACTAGTTATAAAAGAAAAGGAGAAAGGAATTAAAGCCTGTCAAACAACAATAACAAAAAAAGAAACACAAAATAAGACATCAAGAAAGAAAAAAAGGAACAAGAAAAACAGCAGTCAGTAAAATTTCAATAGTAAATCCTTCCCTATCAATAGTTACTTTAAATGTAAAAGGATTAAACTGCCCAATCACACGATATTAACTGGCTGAAAGAATAAAAACTTGGCACCAACTATTTAAGGACACACATAGTTAAACATGATAGGATGGAAAAATATATATTTTATGCAAATGGTAATGAAAAGAAAGCAGAATGGCTATACTTACATTAGACAAAATAGACTTTATGTCAAAAACTGTCTCCAGGGGCAAAGAAGGTCATTACATAAAGATAAAAAGGTTAATTCAATAGGAAGATATAACTATTGTAAATGTATATGCACTCAATATCAGATCTAAATATTTAAAGCAAACACTGACAGAACTGGAGAAATTTATAGCAGCACAATAATACTAGAAGATTTTAATATTCCACTTTTAATAATGGACAGAACATCCACAGAGAAATCAATGGAAAACAGCTTACTTGAACAATAGGAGAGACCAAATTAACCTAACAGACATCTACAGAACTTTTTACCCAACAACAGAAGATTGTACATTCTTTTCAAGCACATATGGAACACTCTTCACAATAGATCACCTATTAGATAACAAAACAACTCAACTTTAAGATGATAGAAACTGTATCAAGTATCTTTTCAGGTCACAATAGAGTGAAAGTGTAAATCAGTTAATGGTAAAGAAACAAGAAACCATATGATTCACAAATACATGGAAGCTAAACAATACACTCTTGAACAATCATTGGGTCCAAGATTAAATTTAAAAAATTAAAAATTACCTCCTGACAAAAATGAAAAGAAAACATACCAACAGTTGTGAGATATAGCAAAAGTATTTCTGAGAAGGAACATTATAGCAACTGGGCCCAATCTGTTTTCCATTGCCAATGCACTACTGCTAAAGCTGTGCAATATCAAACAACCTCTCTCTAGGCTCAGGGACCATCTTGGAAGAAGAGAGAATGTGAAATTGTAAAATCTGGGTCAGATAGGTGGAGTGTACAGGCTAAACCAATTCTGTCTTAAATGCTAATCCAACATGTTGGCTTTTCATTAACCTCGGTTCTGGGAATGCCTCTAAGATTTTTACTCTACTACTGTTAAGAGCACACACTTACCATAAATTCTGACCAAATTACTTCAATTCTCCTTACCTATAGTATATAAGCCCTGGGTTCTGGGGGTTAATGGCATGGGGATCCACCATCTTGTCTCACAGCCTCGAGAGACATGGCTTCTGTTTGTTAATACCTATTAAATGTTTCTGAGGAAGAAAAAAAAAAAGAAACATCTCAAATAAACAACCTAAAAAAATAACTAGCCAAAGACAGAAAAAAATACATACTAACCCAAATATTATCAGAAAGAAGGAAATAATGCTAATTAAGGCAAAAAATAAATTTTAAAAAGGACAAAAAAGCTATTTCAAAAGTCAACAAAACTGAGTTGTGTTTTGAAAAAGACAAATAAAACTGACACATCCTTTCCTAGAGTAACCAAAGAGAGAGAGAAGACTGAAATAAATAAAACTGTATATGAAAGAGGAAACATTACAACAGATGTCTCAGAAATAAAAAGAGCCCTTAAGGGACTGTTATGAATAAATATACACCAACAAATTAGATAAATGCGAAGTAATACATAAATTCCTAGAAAGATACATCCTACCAAGATTGAAGAAGAAATAGAATAGTCCAGCACTGCATGGCTTTGTGGGAGAATTCCAGCAAACATTCAAAGAATTAATAATATTTCTTAAACTATTTGAAAATCTAGATGATGGAACACTTACAAACTCATTTCATGTAGCCAGCATCGACCTGATAACCAAAGACATCCACAAGAAAAGTAAACTACAGGCCAGTAACCTTGATGAATGTAGACTCAGAAATGCTCAATAAAATACAAGCAAACTGAATGCAACAACACATTGAAAAAATTGTACACAATGACCAACTAGGACTTATCCCTGGGGTGCAAGGATGGTTGAACATGCATAAGTCATTCAATGTGATACACTACATAAACAGAATGAAACACAAAAACCATATGATCATCTCAATAAGTTCTGGAAAAATATTTGTCAAATTTAATACCTATTTCTAATTTAAAAAACTCTCAATACAATAGGTGTAGAGAAAACCTACCTCATCACAATAATAGCCATATAAGAAAAGCCCACTGATAACATAATAATCAATGGGGAAAACCCAAAAGCCTCTCCTCTAAAATCCTGTACAAGATTTCCTGCTCTTGCCACTTCTAGTCAAGAACAATGATACAATAAAAAGAAATGAAAGACATTCAAACTAGACAAGAAACAGTAATATTATCTCTGTTTACAGTTGACATATAGGTGTATAGGCAGAAAAGTCTAAAAGTCTCAATGACAACCAAAAATGCTACAATTAATACATGAATTTAGTAAAGTTGCTCTAAATAAAAGTAAGTGGCATTTGTAGAGGCTAAAAATAGATTATCTGAAAGGAAATTTTAAAAATCCTATTTATATAATAATAAGAATAAATACTTTGAAATATATTTAATCAAACAGGAAAATACATACACTGAAAATTATAAAGTATTAATAAAGGAAAATGTTTACTTTTTGCAAAATACAACATTTTTCTTTTTTAGAAAACTTTTAGGTTTAGGGGTATATGTGCAGGTTTGTTATATAGGTAAAATTATGTCATGGGGGTTTGATATTCAGAATGTTTAATCACCTGTGTACTAAGCAAAGTAGCTAATAACTACTTTTTTCAGATCCTCTCCCTCTTACCCTCCACCTTCTGGTTGGCCTCACTGTCTGGTTGTTGCTGTCTTTGTGTCCATGTGTTTTCATCATTTAGCTCCCACTTATAAGTGAGAACATGCAGTATTTCTGTTTTCTGTTTTTCTGTCCCTGTATTAGTTTGCATAGAATAATGGTCTCTTGCTCCATCCATGTTACCGCAAAGGACATGGTCTCATTCTTTTTATGACTGCATAGAATTCCGTGGTGCATATGTACCACATTTACTGAAATGAACATATGTGGGCATGTGTCTTTATAATACATCAATCATATTCCTTTGGCTATATACCCAGTAATGGGATTGCTGGGTCAAATGGCAGTTCTGTTTTTGGTTCTTTGAGGAGTTACCACACTGCTTCTTACAATGGACGAACTAAATTATACTCCCACCAACAGTGTAAAAGTGAGCCCTCTTCTCCACAACCAGGCCAACATATGCTACTTTCTGACTTTTTAATAAAAAGCTTTCTGACTGGTGTGAGATGTTTTCTATTGTGGTTTTTATTTGCGTGTCTCTAATGATCAGTGATGTTGAGCTTTTTTAAAATACTTTTTTTTGGCTGCAAGTATTTTTTTGTTTTTGTGTTTGAAAAGTGTCTGTTCATATACTTTTCACCCTTTTTAGTGGGGCTGTTTGTTTTTTTCCTGTAAATTTGTTTAAATTCCTTATAGATGCTAGATAATCGACCTTTGTCAGCTACATAATCTGCAAATAATTTCTCCCATTCTATTGGTTGTCTGGTAACTTTGTTGATAGTTTCCTTTGCTGTGCAGAAGCTCTTTCATTTATTTATTTTTTGACTATGTTTCCAATATGACCTTTATTGAGCAAGTACTGCTATGACATTTCACATCGATCAACATAAGATTGCAAACTGTCCGTGTCAACGAGGTTCTCCCATGAAGAAAAGTCCATTTTAAATGCACCAGTGTGGTAAACATAATTATTCATATATAGCTTTCTTAAGGCTAAGAGAGTTCTGTGTTTCATTTATTGTTTTTGGCTCAGTTGGTACTTTACATAATACATCTCAAGACATCTCCCCTTCTGAGTGACCCCCTTCCAACAGTGCAGGAAATTGGTAAATTTCCCAGGTACATACAGTATCATGCATTTGAATCCCCCAAAGACTGAGGGGGGAGCACACTGAGCTTGCATGCAGTCTCCTCATATTGCACAAAGTAAAATACAATGTCTGGAGCCCCTATGGGAGAATCTGTTCTGTTTTGAAGCTGTCAATCACATGCATTTTGAAATTGTCGTATGGCTTAAACTTTTGCAGTGGACTCAAATCTTAGTCACTCTGGGTGACTTCCTTTATTACGGCATGTGAAGTGACATTTTCTACCTTTTTAGTAGACACTGGTTTCTCCTCAAAGGTCTCTTCATGCTCTTCGACCATTTGAGTGATGGTTACAGTTTTAGTGATGTATTTGGTAGCACCATCTCCCTCTCACTGGTGATTTTTTCTACTATTTTGGTCACCACCACTTTATCTTCATTTTTATCATCCCCCTTCTTTTCATCTGCTGGGCTTAAGTCTAGGTCATTGGTGACAATGTCTTACTCCTCTTCCCTCCCACTGCCTTTTGCCTTGGTCTCCTGCTCTCCCTTCTCTTTTCCTTCTACCTCTCCATTGACAGCTATGTCTTTCTTCCTGGATTCCTTGGAATCTTTATCACTCCCTTCCTTCTCATTCCCCATTTCCTCCCACTTTCTCCTCTTTCTCCTGTTGCTGTGGCTTCCCTCTTCTTTGGTCTCTTTCTCCAAGTGCACCTTTACCAATTTGGTAATGGTGACTGCCTCCTCCATGGCTTCCTCCTTTACCAGGGACTCAGCTTTCTTCTTCTCTGGCACATCCATTGGTTTCTCTTCCTTTTTCTCTACCTTCTATTCCTTGGGAGCTTCCTCGATTTCCTTTTCTTCCTCTTTCTGTTCACCTTTCCCCACTTCTGCTTTTGACTTTGCCTCTTCCTTTGGTGATTTTGGCACAGTAGACTTGGCTTTTTCTGGCTTTTCCACCTTGGTGTCTGCCACCAACTCCTCCTTAGTGGCCACTTCCTCACTCTTTTCCTCAACTTTCTTTTCCTCTTTAGCTTTGGCTTCCTCTACTTCACCTTCAGCCTCTGTTTCTCCTTCTTTCTGCTCACCTTCCTCTTTTTCACTAGAGGCTTCCTTCTCAGATCCTCCCTCTTCAGCTTGGTCTAACTTATCACCCTCATCTTTTACCTCCTCTTCTTCTTCCTTTTCCCCTTCTTTCTTTCCATTAACTTCAGGTGCAGTTGCTTTCACTGGAGACTAGTGTACCAGTTTTTCAATTAGTTTGTCAATTTTTGCTTTTGCTGTGATTGCTTTTGGCATATTTTCCATGAAATCTTTGTCAGATCTTATGTTCAGAATAGTATTGCCTATGTTGTCTTCCAGTGCTTTTATAGTTTTGGGTTTTACATTTAAGTATTTAATACATTTTGAATTGATTTTTGTATATGATGTAAGGAAAGGGTCCAGTTTCAATCTCTGCATATGGCTAGCCAGTTATCCCAGCACAATTTATTGAATAGGGAGTTGTTTCCCCATTACTTATTTTTTGTCAGTTTTCTCAAAGAGCAGATGGTTGTAGCTGTACAGACTTATTTCTTGACTCTCTGTTTTGTTTTTTTGGTCTATGCATATGTTCTTGTACCAATACCATGTTGTTTTGGTTACTGTAGCCCTGTAGGATAGTTTGAAGTCAGGTAGCATGATGCCTCCGGCTTTGTTCTTTGTGCTTAAGATTCCCTTGATTATTTGGGCTATGTTTTTGGTTCCATATGAATTTTAAAATTGATTTTTTTTCTAGTTCTGTGAAGAATGTAATTGCTAATTGGATAGGAATAATGTAGTTGCTAATTAGATAGGAATAACATTTTATGTACAAATTGCTTTGGGCAATATGGTCATTTTAACCATATTGAATCTTCCTATCCATGAGCATAGAATTTTTTTTTAAATTTATTTCTGTTATCTCTGATTTCTTTTAGCAGTGTTTTATAGTTCTCATTGTAGAGATCTTTCACCTTTCTGGTTAGCTGTATTCCTAGGTATTTTATTCTTTTTGTGGCAATTGTGAATGGGATTGTATTCCTGATTTGGCTCTCAGCTTGGCTGTTGTTGATGTATAGCAATGGTAGTCATTTTTGTACATTGATTTTTATACCTTGATACTTTGCTGAAGTTGTTTGTCAGCTTACAGAGCTTTCGAGCTGAAACTGGGCTTTTCTAGATATAGAATCATTTCATCTGCAAACAGGATTAGTTTGACTTCCTCTCCTCCTATTTGGATGCCTTTTATTTCTTTCTCTTGCCTGATTGCTCTGGTCAGAATTTCCAATACTGTGTTGAATAGAAATAGCAAGTGGAGAAATCATTTTTTTGGTGCTGGTTTTCAAGGACAGTGCTTCCAGCTTTTGCCCATTCAGTCTGATGTTGGCTGTGGGTTTGCAATATATGGCTCTTATTATTTTGAGGTATATTCCTTCAATACCTAATTTGTAAAGAGTTTTTAACATGAAGGGAAGCAGAATTTTTTCAAAAGTCTTTCTGCATCTATTGAGATGTTCATGTGGCTTTTGTCTTTAGTTCTCTTTATTTTATAAATCATATTTATTGGTTTTTGTATATTGAACAAACCTTGCATCCCAGGGATAAAGAATATTGATTGTGGTGGATTCGTGATATAGTGCTGGATTCAGCTGGGTAGTATTTTGTTAAGGATATTTGCATCAAAGTTCATCAAGTATATTGGCCTAAAGTTCTCTTTTTTGTTGTGTCTCTGCCAGGTTTTGTTATCAGGATGATACTGGCCTCATAGAATGAGTTGAGGAGAAGTCCCTTCTCAATTGTGGGGGAACCGTTTCAGTAGGAATGCACCAACTCTTCTTTGTACATCTGGTAGAATTCAGAAGTGAATTCATCTGGTCTAGGGCTGTTTTTGGTTTGCAGGCTGTTTATTACTGATTCAATTTCAGCATTTGTTATAGTTATCTTCAGGGATTTAATTTCTTCCTGGTTCAGCTTGGAAGACTGTATGTGTGTAGGAATTTATCCATTTATTCTAGATTTTCTAGTTTGTGTTCATAGAGGATTTCATAGTAGTCTCTGATGGTTATTTGTAGTTTTGTGGGGTCAGTGGTAATATTCCCTTTCTCATTTATGATTCTGTTTATTTGGATCTTCTCTGTTTTCTTCTTTCTTAGTTTAACCAGTGGTCTATCTATTGTATTAATGTTTTCAAAAAGTCAACTCCTGGCTTCGTTGATCTTTTGAATGGTTGTATTATGTCTCAGTCTCTGTTCAGCTCTGATTTGGTGTATTTTTTATCTTCTGCTAGCTTTGGGTTTTTTTGTTTGTTTGTTTTTGTTGTTATTTTGTTGTTGTTGTTGTTTTTCTCTTGCTTCTGTAGCTTTTTAACTATGATATTAGGTTGTTAATTTGAGGTCTTTCTAACTTTTTGATGGGGGTGTTTAGTGCTATGAATTTCCCTCTCAACACTGCCTTAATTGTGTCCCAGAGATTCTGGTATATTATATCTTTGTTCTCACTAATTTCAAAATACTTCTTGATTTCTGCCTTAATTTCATTATTTACCCAAAAGTCATTCAGGAACAGGTTGTTAAATTCCATGTGATTGTATGGTTTTGACTGATTTTCTTGTTCTTCAATTCTATGTTTATTGTGCTGTTGTCCAAGAGAGTGGTTGGTATGATCTCGTTTCTTTTGCATTTGCTGAGGATTGCTTTATGTTTGATTGTGTGGTCATTGTTAGAATATGTGTTGTGTGTACATGAGAAGAATGTACATTATGTTGTTTTTTGATGAACAGTTATGTAGCTGTTTCACAGCTCAATTTGGTCCAGTGTTAAGTTCATGTTCTGATTATTTTTGTTAATTTTCTGCTTAAATGGTCTGTCTAATACTGTCAGTGGGGGTGTCAAAATTTCCCCGTATTATTGTGTAGTAGCCTAAGTCTCCTTGAAGGTCCCTAAGAACTTGGTTTATAAATCTGAATGTTTCTGTGTTAGGTGCATGTATATATAGGCTAGTTAGGTCTTGTTGAATTGAACCCTTTTCTATTATATAATGCCCTTCTTTGCCATTTCTTATTTTTATTGGTTTAAAATCTTTTTTGTCTGAAATTAGGATTGCAATAATTGCTTTTTTTCTGTGTTCTCTTTGCATGGCAGATTTTTTTCCATTCCTTTATTTGATTCTGTGGGCATCACTGCATGTCAGATGGGTCTCTTGCAGACAGCATACAATTGTGTTTTGGTTCTTTATCCAGCTTACATTCTGTGCCTTTTAATTGGGAAAATTAGTTCATTTACATTCAAGGTTAGTATTAATGTGTATTTGATCTTGTTATCCTGTTGCTGTCGACTTATTATGCTGACTTGTTTGGTTGCTTTATAGTGTTACTGGTCTGTGTCCTTAAGTGAGTTTGTGTGGTTGCTGGTTATGGTCTTTCCCATCCATATTAATGCTTCCAGAAGCTCTTGTAAGGCAGGTCTGGTGGTAATAAAATCCCTCAGCATTTGCTTTTCTGAAAAGGATCATATTTCCCTTCACTTAGGAAGCTTTGTTTAGCCAAATATAAATTTCTTTGGCTGGAATTTCTTCTCTTTAGGTTATTGAATATAGGTCCCAAATCTCTTCTGACTTGTAGGATTTGTACTGAGAGGTCTGCTGTTAGTCTGATGGGCTTCCTTTTGTAGGTGATCTGTCCTTTCTCTCTAGCTACTTTTAACATTTTTTTCTTTCATTTTGACCTTACAGAACCTGATAATTATGTATCTTGGGGATGATCTTCTTGTGAAGTACTTTGTGGGAGTTCTCTTCATTTTCTGAATTTGAATATTGGTGGTTAGGTTGGGGAAGTTCTCATGGATGATATCCTGACTTATGTTTTCCAAGTTGCTTTCTTTCTTCTCATCTCTTTCGGGGACACCAATGAGTCATAATATTGGTCTCTTTATATATTCCTATATTTCCTGGAGGTTTGCTTCATTCCTTTTTATTCTTTTTTCTTTATTCTTGTCTGACCATCTTATTTAAGAAAAACAGTCTTTGAGCTCTGAGATTCTTTCCTTAGCTTGGTATTCTTCTCTTAATACAATTGCATTATGAAATTCTTGTAGAGTGTTTTTCAGCTCTATCCTGTCATTTATGTTTTTTGTTTGTTTGTTTGTTTGTTTTTCTGTACTGGCTATTTTGTCTGTTACCTTCTGTATCTTAATATTGTGATTCTTAGCTTCCTTAGATGTGGTTTCAACATTCTCCCAAAACTCAATGATTTTTATTCCTATCCATAATCTGAATGCTATTTCTGTCATTTCAGCTACCTCTGCCTCATTAGGAATTCTTGCTGGAGGGCTAGTGTGCTCATTTGGAGGAAAGAAGGCACTCTGGCTTTTTGAGTTGTCAGAGTTCCTGCACTGGTTCTTTCTCATCTTTGTGGGCTGGTGTTCCTTCAATCTTTGAAGTTGCTGTCCTTTGGATTTTTTTTCTTTTATTCTATTTTATGACCTTGAGGGTTTGATTATGGTATAAGCTGTGTTCAGTCACCTGGCTTTGTTAGTGGAAGACTTCAGGTGGCCAAGGCTCAGCTCAGCACTCTGCATTGTGTGCTCTAACTCTGGGAGACTGGTATCATACACCAGCTATTACCTGTGGATCAAGTTTAGGAACCTGCTGCACTGGAGGGGTCAATGTGATCTCAGACTGCTGGTCACAACACTCTAATGGCTACTCCCAGCCAAAGCATTTTGTAGGACAGTCGTAGTGGGATGTGTCCACATTTGCATGTACCAGCGGCATCCTCCATCCACATGGAAGATGACAGCCTCCATGTGGGTGTTTGTAGTAGTGGCTGTGGCGGTATGGTTTGGGAAGGTGGAGGGCCCTGCTGGCAATGGTGTGCACATTTGTACTGGTGCTGGTGTTAGCACAGGGATGGGGCGCTAGTGGTCGCAGGACTGTGTGCACCCTCTGTGAGCATTCTTGCTTACAGCAGTGACCTCTCAGGGATGGGAGTAGATACACTGTTTTCTGTGCTTAGTTTCATGCCAGCAGTTTTGGCACAGGAGTGGAGCACTGGTGGTGGCAGAGCTGTCAAACTATATGCCCTCCAATGCTCCAACAAAAATGGCAGTGCAACAGGGGGAGAAGGGATGGGGCACACTCAAGCCAGCAATAGTGGCATGGCATGGCATGGTACATGTGTACACATGCACTGTCAGAGAAGGAAAGGCTAGGTCTGTCTGCAAACACATGTACAGGCAAAGAGATGTATGGGGATCGCTGGCAGCGAGTGCCTGCCAGCAAAGCAGTATGGAGGAGGCTGTAGTGTGGGGAGGACATGGGCAGTCTTATATGTATACACAGGGTTTGCTCTTCTGGAGCACTCTCCCAGTCAGCTGCAGTCCACCAGTGCAGGAGCAATGAGGCAGGCCCCCTTGAGGTGCCTGGGGGGGTACACTGCTAGCAGGTACAGGCAGGCTGGGGCCCAAAGAGAAGACAGCACACCAAAGGGTGCTCAGGGGGCCTGGCTCATCTCATGGGCAAGACTGCTCTACAGAGTCTACGTTCACCCCTTTCCTTAGGGCTAATGTCTACTATAGGAGCAAATCAAGCCTAGGGGGATGGGCATCCCTGGCTGTTCTCCACTATAGATGCTCCTGCACCAAACCCCATGGGCTCTGCTGCAGCTGGAGTTCTGTCCCTACCACTTCACTAAGTAGCTTTCTCTGCCAACTCAAGTGTCCATGGTGGCTGACAAGACTCCTCCTGCTATGATTCCAGAGGCTCATGGTGAGAGTGAGTTGCTCATTTCTGTTCAACTCACCCCTTCCACAGGAGTTGCTGGGAGCCAGGAATGAGTCCTGGTGTGTGGTAGCCACATGCAGCATTCCCAGCTTCATCTCCCTTTATCCCACCTTCTGTATCTTCTCTCTATCTGCTCTCAATGCCTTCCCTCTGAAGATTTACTAGGGGTACACCCGTCTTCCTGATGTCGTGGTCCCTCTGTGGGAGATGTTTCTCCTGGCTGCATCTAGTTGGCCATCTTGGAGGAGGAATCAAGGAAAAATGTTAAAGCATAGATAAATGAAAAAACATTCATCCATGGAAAATAAATGTTTATGAATTGAAATAATTAATATTGTTTTAGTAGCCATGCTAGCCAAAAGGAATCAACAGGTTCATGCAATCCCTGTCAAAATTCCAATGGCATTCTTTACAGAAATAGGAAAAAAAATTCTAAAATTTATATGGAACCACAATAAACTCCAAATAGCAAATAGCTAAACCAATTATGAGCAAGAAAAGCAAGCTAGAGGCATCACACTTTCTGATTTCAAAATAATTTACAAATCTAATCAAAACAGTGTGGAATTTGCATAAAAACAGACATATAGATTAATGCAAGAAAACAGAGAGCCCAGAAATAAATCCATGCACTTAGAGTAAACCAGCCTACAATAAGGGCACCAAGAATACACACTGGGGAAAAGGTATTTTCTTCAATAAATGGTGCTGAGAAAACTGGATATCCACATGTAGAAAAATGAAGATAAGCTCTTACCACATACAAAAATAAAAATTAACTTAAAATGGATTAAAGACATAAACATAAGACTTGAAACTGTAAAACTAATAGCAAAAAGCCATCAGGAAAAAGATTCTTGTCATTGGTTCTGGCAATGATTTTTTTGGATATGAGAGCAAAAGCACAGGCAACAAAAACAAAAGTATAGAAGTGGAATTGCATCAAACTAAAAAGCTTCTGCACAGTAAAAGAAACAATCAACAGACTGAAAAGACAAACTACAGAAAATATTTGCAACTGTATATCTGATAAAAGGTAATATTCAAAATATATAAGGAGTTCACAAAACTCAATAGAAAAATAAATTTACAAAAATGGACATTAATCCAAAGATGTACAAATGGCAAACAGCTAGATGAAAGACGACAGGTCAATAGGTAGATGAAAGATGAAAGATTAATGACATTAATTATCAGGAAATACAAATCAAAACCACAAAAATGTATCACCACATTCCTGTTTGAATGGCTATTATCAAACTTCAAAATATAAATTTTGTGAAGGAAGTGGAGAAAAAGGAAGACATATTGATGGGAATGTAAATTGGTGTGGCCATTATGGAAAACAATATGAAGATTCCTTTAACAATTAAAAATGGAACTACCAAATGCTTCAGCAATCCCACTTCTGAGTCTTTATTCAAAGGAAATAAAATAATTTTGAATCGATATTTGCTTTAGTTTTCATTTCAGCTTTATATACAATAGCTATGGTATGGATACAACTTAAGTGTCCATGGACAGATAAATGAATAAGGAAAATGTGGCATATACCTATTGTACAGCATGGTAACAGTATATCTAATGTACAACATTAGATATGTTTTACATTATGGATGTGATGGATATGTTAATTAGCTTGATTATGATGATCATTTCACAATGTATGCATATACAAAAATCAAGTTGCACACCTTAAATATGTTCATTTTTACTTGTCAGCTATACCTCAATAAAGCTGAAAAAAGAAAAATGGAAGTCAGGAAGGAAGTCGAAGGAAGAAAGGAAAGGAGGAAGGAAGGGAAGGAGGGAGGGGAGGGGACAGGAGCAGAGAGGAGGGAAAAGAAAGAAAATAAGTGCTCAAGGAAACGTGAGCTCTACAATGGAACAAATGCTTATTTTGCTGTGCTTTATGGATTTAATTTTAACTTGCATATTGCTAGTTTGAATATCACTTTTGACATTCATTATCCATTGTTAAAAACAGAAGAAAATACCCATGCATGGTTTTGTATGCTCTATATTTACCACTGTGTTCACAAATGTAAGATGCTGCTATGATATTTGCTTCTCCTTGGGATAGCCTCAAGTGTAGGTCATAGCTTTTTTGGAACATTGATTGTCATTGAAAATTCCATGGAGCATTGTCATTGTAAATTCCTGTACACTTGAAGCTTCACATTGGGTTCTGACAAGATTGGGTCATGTTGAGCGTAGTTGGGACTGAATGAGACATATTACTTTTTATCAGATTGTAATGACAGGTTTAAAACAGTTGCTTTCAGGTGAATGATAACTAGACAAGCTACTTTTTTCATATTTTTGAGATCAGAATATTATGAAATAATTCAAATTTCCCAAATATGTAATATAGAAAAATTCTAAGTTTCATTTTAATTTTTCATCCTATTTTTGGTTTTATTCATTAGATATTGGCATGTTGAAGTTCTTTTTAAAATGTATTTTAAAATTGTTTTCTAGCTGTATTAGTTATCTACTGCTGTCTTAGCAATTTATCACAAAATTAGTGCCTTAAAACAACACAAATGTAATATCTTATACTTCTCTAAGTCACATGCTTGACACAGGTCTGACGATTAAAATCAGGTTAAATTGGCAAGGTAATGCTACTTTCTGGAGGCTCTAGGGGAGAATCAGTTTTCTCGATCTTTCTAGCTTATAGTGGCCACCCACGTCCCTTGACTTCTGGACTCCTTTTGTTTTCAAAACTAGCAATGTTACATTTGCCTGCCATTCTTCTACAATCACATTTCTCTCCCTGACCACAGCCAAGGAAGGTTTAATATTTTTAAAACTAATGTGATGAGATTGGGTCTATCCAGATAATTTGGGACAGTTTTTCCATATGGAGGTTCTTAACTTTAAACACATCTACAAAGTCCTTTTTACCAGGTAAGGTAACATATTCCAAGGCTCTTGGAATTAGGTAATGGACATATAACAGGGCATTATTTTCTGCATACCACACTAGGCACTGGGGTTCTAGGGGCTTCGGGCATTTGGCTAGTGGCTAGGTCCTACAGATGAAATAGAGACAAATCCAATATGTGGGTATATATGCATAAGTAAAAATACATTCCCCTCTGCTAATGGTATTATTTTTAATTTACTTTTTACTCCATTGAATGTTTACCAACTACATGTACATGTAAATACTATTATTTCTGGGTTTTTAGACCCCTTCCCAAATGAGGTAACAGAAAGATATTTTATTTTTGTGTCTCGGTTTTTTTTTGTTTGCTTGTTTCTAGTTTGTTTGTTAGCTTGTGTCATACAGGGAAGTCACATGTAAATGTATGGATTTAGAGGGTGCAAAATGCTTTCACACAGTTTAACTCATCAGATTCTTACAACAATCCCTTTAGGTAGGCAAAGCACTTTTACTCTGCTCTTCTCTCTGCCTGTAACAGATGAGGGTCTTTAACAGATTTCTATCAGAGCAGGAAATAAGGTGTTCCCAGAGTTACACAGCATCTAGTGTTGTGCTACTTTGCTCAACCATTATTATAGCACATCTCACTAATGTTCTTGAGGAAAATAATTCTCCGTAGATAATATTAGGCTGCCAGAAATATTTAAGCCATTTTTGGAATGTTGGTCCCGAATATGTGTAAACCTCTGTATTCTAAATAACCATTTATATATTGGCGCTAATAAATGATGGAACGCAGAAAATTACAAAAGTCATCCAAAACATCGGTTTAAGCAAGAGGTAATTTTTGGACTGATATATCAGATCTGACAGCCAGCAAGGGATGATAAAATCAGACCAAGTTTTGGAGTCAGGCAAATGTATTCGGTCACTTCTGAGTTATATGACTTTGAGCAAATCAGTTATGTTCTTTCTACCTGTGTTTTTCTACTTATAGTATGGGCATGATAACACTTTATTGTCATATGGGTGCAAAACAACATAGATAAAAGTGTTTTATTGTTTAAAAGTTCACTAAATGGAATAAAATAACATTAAATTAATCCTTAATAACACTTTAATCTGGAGATAAATAAAAGCCAAACTGGGAAAGTGATTAGCAGTTCTTTTTGTCATACAAAAGGCCAGTTGGGAGTCTTTTCATTGTCTAGGAAAATATATACTGCTGACTAAGATAATGACAAATGCTCATTGCCATGGTATATATATTATTCCAATACACAGAATTTCATGTCAAGGGGATATTTCTTTATTCTTACGTAATGAACGGGCCGGGCACAGTGGCTCATGCCTGTAATCCCAGCACTTTGGGAGACTGAGGCAGGCAGATCACAAGGTCAGGAGATCGAGATCACCCTGGTTAACATAGTGAAAGCCCGTCTCTACTAAAAATAGAAAAATTAGCCGGGTGTGGTGGGCACCTGTAGTCCCAGCTACTCGGGAGGCTGAGGTGGGAGAATGGTGTGAACCCGGGAGCAAGACTCTGTCTCAGAAAAAAATAAAAAAAGAATGGTTGCTATATGACAGACACTGTTTGGTAATCTTGAAATATCAATGAATAACACACACAAATATGCCTGCTCTCTTAGAGTCTACATGCCATTGATAGACATAAATGATAAACAATAAAATTAACAAATAAGTTAATAAACAAAGAGTTCATATAATATGCCAACAGGTGATAGGCACTATGGATAAAACAAAATAGAATGGCCAATGGGGGTTCAGAGAGAGTATAGGAAAACTGGAACATTAAATACAGATTATCAGCTAGGCCTCCTTGAGCAGAAGATGTTTAAATACCAGCTTGATTGAAATAATTACCTAATTTTATTTCTTGAGGAATAGTGTTCCAGGGAGAGGGAACAGAAATATTAAGGTCTCAGAATATTTGTTGTGTTTGATAAAGACCAAAAAGATAAGCACAACTAGAGTACAATAAATGAAGGGTAGATTGCTAGGAGATGAGATAGAGAGAAATGGAAGGTGGGATCTTTTGAAACAGTGGAAATTTCCTTTAGACTCTTCAAAAATATGTTGAGTAATGATTACTAACATCAAAATTATTTTTTATAAAATCATGTCAGACTTTTTCATCTCCTTAAAAAAAAGCAAAAATATGTACTGAGTATCTGTGTTTGGGAAATAACAGAGAACAAGACAGACACAAATTCTATTACTTTCTCAAACTTTTGGAATTCATTTGAAAATATACCCATGTTTTTAATATCACCATTTTTTTCCACTAGCTAGCAGCCATTCTCAACTCTTTTACAAATTATGGCACATCAGTCCAGGTGTGGTGGCTTATGCCTATAATACCAGCACTTAAGAAGGATGAGGTGGGAGAATCGCTTGAGCCCAAGAGTTCAAGACTAGCCCCGGCCACATAGTCAGACCGTGTCTTTACAAAAAATAGAAATTAGCTGGGTGTGGTCACATGCAACTGTAGTCACAGCTGCTTGGGAGGCTGAAGTGGGAAAATCGCTTGAGTGGGAAGTAGAGGCTGCATGGAGCTGTGATCATGCCACTGCACTCCAGGCTGGGCAACAGAGTGAGATCCTGTCTCAAGAAAACAATAACAACAAAACACAAAGTATGGCACATCACTGATTCTTACAGACATAACTATATATTTCCCTCACATATCTTCACACAGCTTTAAACCTGTTGGTTATGAAAAACTCCCACATTTCATTTACAAATTAATATGAAGATGTATATCTTAAAGTAGGATCACAAGAGCACTGATAAGTGTCTTTAATCATGTAAGTGAAAAATGTAGTTTTACCAAAGCTAATGTAGTTACTTTTAATTGACCAACAAATATATTGTCATTACTATTATATTATTGGCAATAATTATGTCACCAGTTGGGATGCCTTTTCCATAATTATGTTTAGAAAGACGATACAGAAACATACATAATAGAAGCATTATCTTAAAATTGATTTAGTGTCATTTCCTCTTAAATATTTTTCTGTTGATGTAACACTAAGCTGTGTGTCATTCACTTTAAACAAACAGATAATAAGTTAATACCCACACTTCTCGCTTTACATGGTAGTGAAGGATGATAAACATGATAATCTCAGCTGAAATCATGCAAGTTTATCTTAATAATCAAGAATAAATATTATTCCATAACCTTTAATTTCTTTTCAAAATATTAGAAACTCTTTTACTGTCACTTACAAATGTGTAGGAAAATAAATAAATTATAAAACATATTCATTTAACATCCTGGAATTTACACTGGGAATAAAAGAATTAAAGTCAGTTCTTTCTTTCTATAACTCTGTTTATATTCAACTCATATCTTACATTATTATTTTTTGCATCATTATTTTCATTTGTTTGCTATACTTTCACATATGCTGGCCAATTCCCTCTTAATTACATTGATGTTAAAGACTTAAAGTTTACTTGTTTGTTAAAAAATGTTTACTAATAGTTTGAATAGTGATTGATTTCTTCTTACATGGCTTACAATGAAGGGGGCAATGTTTTATGCCTTGGCAAATTGTCATAATCTTAAATTTGGATCAGCTTTCATCACTTTATGCTTTGATGCTTTCAATATTGTTAAGTATCTCTGTAAGTTCCTTTAATGTAAGTCTTTTTTTTTTTTATTGTGTGTTTGGGTTTTTGCTGGCGTCACTTAGCCTGATACATCTTCATCCTTTTCATCACATCCACTTTCTTCATTTATGTCAATAAGCTCCTCTGCACTAAGTTGTTCTGGCTGCAAAGCTTAAGTTCCTCAGATGGCAGCAGTGTCAATATTCCCACAGGGATTTTGCTGTAGCTCCATTTTCACTGGACTCAACGTTTTACTTTATGTTGTACTTTTATCTTTTCTGGCCAATTCTTTCAATTATTTATTTTTAAGAAATGGCACTTGTGTTTATCAATGGGAAACAGAGACAACATAACTGCACACTTTTCTGTCTGCATGTGATGAATAATAGATGTGTAGTGATCAATCACTGACAGACATTTAAAAAGATGATGCCAATGGTCACTGATCATGAAGCACACCTGTTATTTACATAATGATTTTGGACCAAAGAGCAAGGAGCAAAATTTGTACTTATGTAATTACTTACAGTTAATACACTGTGGTAGCTGAAATTTGAAATTTTATTTTTTATAAAATCATGTCAGACTTTTTCATCTCCTTAAAAAAAAGCAAAAATATGTACTGAGTATCTGTGTTTGCGAAATAACAGAGAACAAAACAGACAAAAATTCTATTACTTTCTCAAACTTTTGGAATTCATTTGAAAATATACCCATGTTTCTAATATCACCATTTTTTTCTACTAGCTAGCAGCCATTCTCAACTCTTTTACAAACTATGGCACATCCGTCCAGGTGTGGTGGCTCATGCCTGTAATCCCAGCACTTTAGAAGGATGAGGTGGGAGAATCGCTTGAGCTGGGTAACTGGTCTAACTTAACTAAACATGGTGACTGAAATGTATGCATATAGGAACTGTAAATTGAGGAGTACCTGTAAATAGGAATGCTACAAGGTCATACATATCTTGTCCCAAACTAAACTTTAGCATTTGCTAGTTATGTGATATCAGGAAGCAATATAATTTTTCTAAGCCTTAGTTCATCTATAATAAAAAATATGATATGGTCTATGTTATAAGATCGTTAAAAAGATTAAGTAAGGTGACACATATCGACCAAGTACTTTATAGGTCCTTAGTAAATAGCCAGTATATATTAGCTAATGGATTATTATTGAATTATTATTTCTACTCCACCAGACTAATAAACCTCTTGAAGTTAAGACCTTTTGTATCCTCATTGTGTAGCAAAAGGCCTGGAACATAGTAGGTACTCAATGAATCTATTTTAATGAATGAAACTTACCTTCTCCATTTCTAGAATATTTCATAAATAAATTGTGTGACACACTTTTTAATCTGTCAAAATCTATTTTCAGAAAAATTTAAAAATTTACTCCACTTTCCCTAAATCCCATCTGTAATGGAACAGCAATAACTGATCTTTTTACAAAGAAAATTATATTACAGAGGTGAACATAATCAAATGCTACAAAACTGGGTCTAATTTTCCTGAAAATTAATCTTAAAGGAAAATACTGGGAGTAATTTTATTTTTGACTTGATTTAACAATCAATTTTATTAATTTTATTGTCCCTTCTCGGGCAGGGCTATCTGCACAAATCTGTTGAGCTTTTTCAGACACCATCAGATCAACTTACTTGTGCCTCTGAGGCAGAGATGAAGTGGCTATTTTTCAAATCTCAAGTGCCCTACCCACAGGAAAGGAATATTATTTTTCATTTAATGAGCTGTAGCACATGAACAATTAAGAAGACATAATTGAATGAAGCTAATCAGCAAAAAGCAAGAGCTTGCCTCTGGGAACCTGCTGAAGTTGATTGCGGCTGTTATCTGTGGTTTTATCTGTTAAGCTAATAGTACCAATGAGTGGGAAAACAGTGACTAGTAATTGCACAGTCCTCACCGCCTCCCCCACCAAGTCTTAAATTAAAAAAAAAAAAAACACATATTGCTAGGAGGACTGATGATGCCAATGAAATGAATGAATTATTTGTTAACTATTGGTTAGCCTACAGCTATGAAGTTAAAAAAAATTAAAAATTGTTCTTAGTCTTGTTATTAACAACAGTTCTGAAGGTTAGCTTTAATAATTGTAAGAAAGCTCTCCTTATTCTAAGGTAGGGGGGTAAGCCATTAATGAAGTGTAGTTTAATTAGAACTTTGTTGAAAACCTTAATAAAGCCGAAGTTTTAAAATATTCAGCCTCCTAAAGAAACTGGGAATTTCTGTACCTCTTAGTTGGGAAACGGTAATTCATAGGAAATTGCTACTTGGGGAGTACCAAATCAGAAACTGGAAAACCGCACAGGATAGATATTCCAATTAAGGTTGTTCAGCTTATATTTGAATTGTGCACTGGATGGTTTATTTAATCTAAACCTTTAGGGCAGCCAACTTCTGTGGGTCATTTACAGTTTTAAAGAGACTTAAAGAGCCTATAAATCTAGAGTCCCTGAAAAATGACTTTCTTGAGCCAATTTATATACTAAAATGTTATTTGTATATTGTTCTTAGAAGACTTTATATGTACAATTTGGTAAAATTTTCATGTAATGAAAGCAAACCTACCATTTGGTTGAAGCAAACCTACCATTTGCTTGTTACATGCTTATTCTTATCATCGTTCCTGACATTGTCTTTACTTTTTCTTCCTTGTTTTGTTTTATTAATTGAAAATAGCCACATTTTTATATGACTAGACTATCATTGCTAATGGACATTTGGTCACATTCTTTTTATTTACAGCCATGATTCTGATTTATATTCAGTCATTACTTGATTTCAGTGGTCCAGCCAAGAACTCAGCACAGTTATGCTTCCTACACAGCAGAGAGATACTGAATGGAAGATTAGAGGGATGAACTGGGTTAAAATTACAAGGAGGATATCATAGGAAACAAGAACTAGACATGAATCAAGATAGAATAAAGAGAAAAACAAATTATTGAAGCAGTAGAAAACCAGTAAGGAGTAAAAGAAAGAAGATATGAAAATATGTTATTGTGGATAATATATTACCCTGGATAGATTTAGGGGATAATTTTATCAATATGGTGAAATTTTAAAAACTTGTTCCATATATCTCAACTTTGAGAAAAAAAACTATTGAGAGTGTTTGTGACCTGTTTAATAGAAGCAAATACAGTTCCTTTAAAAAGTCAGGGTCTTGCTCTGTCACCTAGGCCTGAGTACAGTGGCATGATTATAGCTCACTGCAGCCTTGCAGACTCAAAACCCTGCATCCAAGTGATCCTTCTGCCTCAGTCTCTCAAGGGTCTAGGACTACAGGTGGGCACTACCACACATGACTAATTTTATTTTCATTGTTTTCCTTTTTATAGAGATGGGGTCTTGTTATGTTGCCCAGAGTGGTCTCAAATTCCTGAGCTCAAGTCATTCTCCTCAGCTTCCCAAAGCTTTGGGATTACAAGCTTGAGCATCTACACTTGACCTTAAATAATATATTATGTAATAATGAGGTGATTGATATGTTCTGCCGTTAAAAGTAAACACCTTTCTTTCCATTCTGAAGCATGTGTATCTTTATTGTTTTTATTAATATACTAAATAAAAGAAAACATGGTATATTTCTTTCTTTAGATCAAATATTTTTCTATTGATCTTTTAGTCGAATCTTAATTTTAAATGATAAAATGAAGACTACCATTTAGGCAATAGATTTTTGTGTACCATTTTAACTTCAAGTAAATGGTGGTAGCTAAATAGATCTACCTTTGAAAGTTTGTTGGGTAGGTGTTGAATATGCTTTAGAGGGTGTCTATTTTCACTCATTTTCTCTTTGAAAGCAGAAAAAAATCAATTCCTTTTCTATTAAGACTTGTAAATGAGGTTTATAATTGAAGCAACTGATATGGTTGATTAGCATATGAACTTTTTTTTAGTAGAAATTGGGAGTTGATAATCTTATCTACTGAATGCTTGTATGTTAGAATTTCTATGTGTTTGGATACCATTAACCCTACAGGTCTGTGTATCCCTTCCCATCCATAGGTCAAAAATAAAAGCATTTGCCCATTGTGGTATCCCTTACTAGCATATCTCTCTCCTTATATTCATTTTAGTGTTGTCTACAGGCCCACACCTAGTCTTGCCTTGAGATACCTTTAATTTTGTCCTCTCCATGAAAAGGTAACATAAACCAGCCCTCCACTTAGTAAAATAAAATGGAGGAAAATAACAATTATCCAAGTAGCACAAGTAAATAAAAGACATTATAGAATCATTCTAATTCCTCAATTGTTTGGTATAATAGTCTATATTTTATAGCCATTGGATTAAATTTGTTAATTGCATGGATAAAATATTTCATATGAGAATTTTTGGGTATAAATTCAAGGGTATAATTTTATTTTCATAAAGTTAAAAAAGGAAAAACTATATACTGTTTAGGGGTGCATACATTATAGTCTGTCTATCAACTATGGCAAGTAATAACGCAAAATTCAGGATAGTGTAAGAAAAGGTATGCAAGAGATTCTTTTAAATTTTTTTCCTGATCAAAAAGCTCAGATTGTATATATGCAAGATATTCTAAGATACCAGTAACTGAAATATGTGTATCTTTATTGTTTTTATTAATATGCTAAATAAAGGAAAACATGGTATATTCCTTTCTTTAGATCAAATATTTTCATTATTTTTATTTTTTTGGAAACAGGTTCTTGCTCTATTGCCTAGAGTGCAGTGGCAAAATCATAGCTTACTGTAACCTTGAACTTCTGGGCTCATGTGATCCTCCTGCCGAGAGGTGTGCACCACCATTCCCAGCTATATTTTTTAATTTTCTTCGTAGAGACAGGGCCTCCCTACATTGCCCATGCTAGTTGAACTCTTGGCCTCAAGCAATCCTCCAGCCTTAGCCTCCCAAAGTGTTGTGATTACGGGAGTGAGACACCACACCTTGCCAGTAATGTTCTATTTCTTAAATTGGGTGGCATCTAGTGTACATTTATATTTCATATTGTATTGTTTAAAAAGAAAATAAGAGCACCTACCGTTTTGTTTGCATATATGTATTTCCTCAAGAAAATACATGATAAAAGAGTATGTGTAATTATGACAAGAAAAATAATGTCTTGATTATAACCTGACCAACATATAGATTCTTCATTTTACATCTGGTGTTACTGAAGCTGTAAATTTTACCAGTCACAGATTCAATGAAATTATCATGCGATCCAATGGAACTTAACAATCTTTATGGAATATTTTGTCATTTGTTTGTTGGCTGTTTGTATGTCTTCTTTTGAGAAGTACCTCTTCATGTCCTTTGCCCACTTTTTAATAGGGTTATTTTTTTCTTGTAAATTTGTTTAAGTTTTTTATAGATTCTGGGTATTAGACCTCTGTCAGATGCAGAATTCACAAATATTTTCTCCCATTCTGCAGGTTATCTATTTACTCTGTTGATCTTTTTAAAATTTTTTTATATTGCTGTGCAAACTCTTTAATTTAAATAGGTCCCAATTGTCAATTTTTGCTTTTGTTGCAATTGATTTTGAGGATTTAGCCATAAATTGTTTTCCTAGCCTAATGTCAAAAATGATGTTGCTTGGGTTTTTTTCTAGGGTTTTTATAGTTTGAAGTATTACATTTAAATCTTTAATCCATCTTGAGTGAATTGAGTGAATTTATTATATGGTGAAAGGTAGGAGTCCAGTTTCATTCTTCTGCATATGGCTAGCCAGTTTTTGAGTACCATATATTGAACATTACCCAGCGTTCACTTTTGTCAACTTTGTCACAGATCGTATGATTATAGGTGTGCAGCTTTCCTTCTGGGTTCTCTTTTCTGTTCCATACGTCTATGTGTCTGTTTTTGTATTAATACCGTCCTATTTTGGATATTGTAGACTTATTGTATAGCTGAAGTCGGATAATATGATGCCTCTGGCTTTTTTCTTTTTGTTTACCTTCCTTTAGCTATTCAGGCTATTTTTTGTTCTATATTTTAGAATCCTATTTTTCTATTTCTGTTAAAAATGGCATTGGTAGTTTTACAGGAATAGCATTGAATCTGTAAATTGCTTTGGGCAGTATGACCATGAGTAATACTCATTCTTACCTTCCATGAGTGTGGAATGAATTTATAATTGTGTGTGTCATCTATTATTTCTTTCAGCAATATTGTGTAGTTATTACAGAGATCTTTCACCTCTTTGTTGGATGTATTCATAGACATTTAATTTTTATTGTGGGTATTGTAAATGTGATTGTGTTCTTGATTTGACTCTCCACTTGAACATTATAGAAATGCTACTGATTTTTGTATGTTGAATTTTTATTCTGAAACTTTACTGAAGTCATTTATCCATTTCAGGAGCCTTTCAGCAGAGTCTTTGAGGTTTCCTTAGTGTAGAAACATATAGTCAGCAAAGAGAAATAGTTTGACTGCTTTTCATATCTGGATGTCTTTTATTACTTTCTCTTCTTTGATTGCTCTAAGATTTCCAGTACTGCATTGAATAGAAGTAGTGAAAGTGAGCATCCTTGCTTTGTTCCAGTTCTCAAGGGATTGATCCCGCTTTTGCCCATTCAGTATGATGTTGGCTATAGGTTTGTCATAGATGACTCTTATTATTTTTAGGTATGTTCCTTTGGTGACTCATTTTTTAAGTATTTTTATCATGAAGAGATGTTAGATTTTATCAAAAGCTTTCTCTGCATCTATGGAGATGATCATAATTACATGGTTTTTGTTTTTAATTTTGTTTATGTGGTGAATCACATTATTGATTTGCACATGTTGAACTACTCTTGCATCCCAGAAATAAAGGCTACTTGATCATGGTATAGCTATTTGATGTGCTGTTGGATCAGGTTTGCTAGTGTTTGGTTGGAGATTTTTGTGTTTATGTTCATCATGGATATTAGCCTGTAGTTTTTCTTTTTTTCATTGTTTATCTGCCAGGTTTTGGTATCAGGGTGATGCTGGCTTCATAGAATGAGTTACAGAGGAGTTCCTCCTTAATTTTTTGTAATAGTGTCAGTAGAATTGGTAGTAGGACTTCTTTGTATTTCTGCTATAATTTGGCTGTGAATTATGTCCACCTGGTCAGGGACATTAGTTGATTCATAGGGTTTTTTATGACTGATTCATTTGTTCAGAGTTGCAATTTCTTTGTGATTCAATTTGGGGAGGTTGTATGTTTTCATGAATGTATCAATTTCCTCTAGATTTTTTAGTTCGTGTGCATCCAGTGTTCATAATATTCTCAGGATCTTTTCGGTTTCCATGTGTTTGGCTGTAATGTCATCCTTGTTTCTGAATGGGCTTATTTGGATCTTCTCTTTTTTGTTTTGTTCATCTAGCTGGAGGTTTATCTCTCTTGTTTATGCTTTCAAAGTCCCAACTTTTGGTCTTGTTGATCTTTTGTATGGATTATTGGGTCTCTACTTCATTCAGTTCTGCTCTGATTTTAGTTATTTCTTTCCTCTCATTAGCTTTAGGTTTAGATTGTTCCTTTTCCTCCGGTTCCCATAGGTGTAATGTTAGATCATTAATTTGAGATCTTTCTAACTTCTTGATGTAGACACTTAGTGCTGTAAATGTTCCTCTTAACATTGTATAGGCTGCATCTCAGAGATTTTGAAATGTTGTGTGTCTTCATTTTAAATAATTTTATAAATTTCCTTAATATCGTTGTTTATCTGAAAGTCCTTCAGGAGCAAGTTGTTTAATTTGCATGTCATTGTGTGGTTTTGGGAGATGTTCTTAGTATTGGTTTCTGGTTTTAATCTACTGTGGTTCAAGAGTATGGTTGATATGATTTTAATTTTTTGTGTTTATTGAGACTTGCTTTATGGCTGAGCATGTGGTCACCCTTAGAGTATGTTCTGTGTGCAGATGAGAGGAATGTATATTCTGTGGTTGATGGGTAGAGTGCTCTGTAACGTCTACTAGGTCCAACTGGTGAAGTGTCAAATTTAAGTCCAGGATTATTTTGTTATTTTGCATTGATGATCTCTCTAATGCTGTCATTGATGTGTTGAGGTCTCCCATTATTGTTTTGTGCCTAAGTCTTTTTATAGGTTTTGAAGTATTTGTTTTATGAATTGGGTGCTCCAATATTGAGTGTGTGCATATTTAAGATAGTTAAGTCTACTTGTTGAGTTGAACCCTTTGTCATTATTTAATGACATTCTTTATCCTTTTTTATTATTATTGGTTTAAATTCTGTCTTATCTAACACAAGTGACTGTTGTTCTTTTTTGTTTTTCATTTGCATGATACATCTTTCTCCAACCCTTTACCTTGAACTATGGGTGTTGTTACATGGGAGTTCTGTCTCTTGAAGACAGCAGATGGATGAGTCTTTGTGTTTTATACAACTTGCAAGTCTGTGCCTTCTAAGTGGGGTGTTTGGACCATGTAAATTCAAGGTTAATATTTATATGTGAGGTTTTGATCCCATTGTGAAATTGCTAGCTGGTTGCTTTGTAGTTTCTATTATATGGTTGCTTTATAGGGTCTGCAGACTATGTATTTAATTGTGTTCTCGTGGTGGCAGAAATTGTCCTTTTTTTCCATGTTTAGGACTCCGCTGAGGTTGCCTTGTAAAGCTGGTCTAGTGATTACAAATTCCCTTGTCAGTTGCTTGTCTAGAAAATACTTTATTTATCCCTTCCTTACAAAGCTAAGTTTGGAGGAATATGAAATTATTAGTTTAAGTTCTTTTAGAGTGTTGAAAATAAGCCCCTAATCCCTTCTGGCTTGCAAGATTTCTACTGAGAAGTCTTCTGCCAGCCTGATTGGGTTCCCTTTGTATATGACTTAAATAATTTATGCCATTCGAACTTTGTGGAAAGGAGGAGCAGATTTAAATAGGACTAAAAAATGGGTGAGATTAAGTTCTTATGGAATGCTTTAATTGTTCATTAGCCTTCAACAGCTAAATGAGCTGCACATTTTTATTATATATTTTTGTCATTCTGACCATAAAACTGACACCAGCTAACTGACTTGGAAGACCTAAACAAAATAGTATCTTATTTTAAAATTACTATGTTTATAATTACTATTTTAAACCATGTAGGTATTTCTTAAACCTTAGGAGATGAGTTCTTACAAAAATCTGCTAAAATCATTCTCTCTAGTGTTTTCCTATAAGGTTAATAGTTCTGAAAGAATTAATTTATATTAAAAATACAAAATATTAAATTTTTCCAAATGTCACAATGTTATAATGAGCATTTTCTTTATCAATCAAGGGTTTGAGACTCATATTTATAAAAATGATGGACAATGCCACATTAATCAGAAGAAAGACTGATTTGTATGCCCAAGATTAGGGGCCCTCAAACTTTGAAAGGCACAAAAACTTCCTGCAGGATTTTTTTAAAGAACTACATGCCAGAATTTACACCAGAAATTTAAAAAGTACTTCAAAAAGGCTAAGGAGTAGGCTAATCAACATTTTAAAACACTACATAGATAATTTTATTTTGCATTAAAACTTAACCATTGTGATAAAGTATTAAACTTTCCAAATGTATATAAATCATCCAAGGCAATGTATGAATCAATGTTATACAATTTAATCCTAATTTACTTTCGATTCATTTAACTTAATTCGACATGGTCTTAAGAAGGACTCATCAGGGATAAGGGGAACTGCCAGATGCCTCTTGGAAGAGGAATATTTATTTATTTATTTATTTATTTATTTATTTATTTATTTATTCATTTATTTAGGCTTAAACAGGAACTGGCCTCAAGGCCAGAAACCAGAGAACTCCTTCACCTACTGTTCTTCTGAGGGAGGACTAGTGCCTCCAGGAGATGGTTTTATAAAGGGACTATTAGTGGGCACACTGGGTAAGGAATCTAACCTGTTTCCTGACTCCTGTAAGGGGCATAACCAGTAAATTAATTATTATAAGAAATTTTTGTAGCAATGCTTTGCCTTGAACTTTTGTTTTTAATTTAATTATTCTGGATTTTCGTGGAGTGATACCATGAAATTAATATGATCAATTAATCTTGACTTATTTTTTTTTCCTTTTTTGTATTCTCACCAAATGTAACCCTGATTTCTTAATGTGAGAACAGTTGGACACTACATTTTTAACTTGCATTTACATTATTCTTGAAAGCATAGTTTAGAGGGAACTGAAGAATATGGGTCAAGAAATTAAAATTTTCAGCCGGGAGCGGTGGCTCACGCCTGTAATCCCAGCACTTTGGGAGGCCGAGGCGGGTGTATTGTAAGGTCAGGAGATCGAGACTATCCTGGCCAATATGGTGAAACCCCGTCTCTACTAAAAATTACAAAAAAAAAAAAAAATTAGCTGGGCGTGGTGGTGCACGCCTATAGTCCCTGCTACTCAGGGGGCTGAGGCAGGAGAATCACTTGAACCCAGTAGGCAGAGGTTGCAGTGAGCCGAGATCGCGTCACTGCACTCCAGCCTGGGGACAGAGTGAGACTGTCTCAAAAAAAAAAAAGAAATTAAAATTTTCTTCAGGTCTTTCAGGTATACATTCTGTGCTCTTCTTTTATCTTCACTACACCTCAATCCCCTAGGTGTTCAGCCATCAATGTAGACATTTTTCTCTATCTTTGCATAAAGACTTCCAGTAAAAAAAAATAACTTGGTGGTCTTTAACAGATTGCGTACTCCTCAAGAGCGGAACTACCAATGTATTTTTTTCACAAATGTCTGAAACACACTGTACATTCAATATTACTTGAGAGAATAGATGCACTCTTTTACTTTGAGTACTAATGGAACAAACATCACTGGACATTTTTGGCAAATAATCTGATGTATTACTACACTGTAACTGTGAGAGTCAGTGACGTGGACCATACTGTGTTAACCAGTGTCCAACGTTTTATCTGATCTGGATACAATTCCCAAGAATTTGCATCTTTTTAGACTGACTGAGTCTGACTGAATTCCTTACATTTAAAAAAATCGCAGGAGAAGTGCTGTCATAACCCAGAGATCCTTTATCACTCTTTTCTTTGATAATTTCATGACATGAATAAAGATAATTTTCAAAAACAAATACCGGATAGAATATATACAAAGATCTTGCCCTGCAGCATACCAGTGTTTGGCTTTATTCATCTTTGTCTTTCATTTACAGCAAGTTGTCTTTAAATGATTAGTATTCTGTGGGAAATATTCTCACTTTTAAAGGAGGATGTCAGCTGATCAGTGATTTTCATTCTGACTTAATATTTATTTCTCCAAGTCTGGTCTTAACTTAAATCGCTAACTACATGAGTAGTCTACATATCCAATGCTAATTTTTATAGAAAACTTATACTTAATAACTGTACAAAAGGGATCATTGCATTGATATGGAACTTTACTTGGATACAACTGGAAAAGCAGCAGTTCTACATCAGCAAAAGATATAGATAGATAGGTAGGTAGATAGATAGATAGATGGATACATACGTACATACATAGATAAATGATAATTTAAATGTAACCAACTCACTTAGAAGAATAGAGCTTGTTTGTTTGTTTGTTTGTTTGTTTAATAACAAGGTAAAAGATATGTATCTAACTTACAAATTGGCCATTGGCCAGGGCGATGAATTGACTATATAGTTCCTGAAGACATGTTGTAGTGACTTTGATGACCATGGGCAAAACTGTAGTTACTCCCTAGCAATTCCCATTAAAATCAATGTTGTGTGGAATTAAATATGGCACAAAAACATGTGTCACTGCTTCAGGGCTAGCCTTCTGTTAAAATTAGTAAGTGTCATGTGACTCTTATGTGGAAGTGTCTGAGAACTAATTTACAACTCTAGTTTTAAGAAAGCAGTTGACTTGTTTATTACTAAATACCTGTTTTGTTCTGATATTTCTTTTCTTTGCTTTTTTCTTTCATATATTGAAAAATTAGGAATTTTCAATATATCTACCTGCACTGTAGAGTAAGCCCAGTAGAACAAGACATTTAAAAAGAAGCTTTAAAAGATTAAGAGAAACACAAGCATCTAGATATCATTCTGATATAGATGGAAATATTTTATTTCCCAAGATATATTGTTAAACCCTGCTACCAACATCATGAGTACAATACAATTTCTTTGTAATCTCATATTCTAAAATTATAACCAAATATTGAAGCCAATTTTTTTCTGTCTTAGTTATTTTTAATAAAATAACTTGGCTAATATTAGGAATTAGTTATAATGAGATTTTATCTGGTTTATTAAATCAAAGAACTGACGAGAAATAATAAAACAGGCCAATTTCAGTTTTTTTTTTTATTATACTTTAAGTTTTAGGGTACATGTGTACATTGTGCAGGTTAGTTACATATGTATACACGTGCCATGCTGGTGCACTGCACCCACTAACTCGTCATCTAGCATTAGGTATATCTCCCAATGCTATCCCTCCCCCCTCCCCCCACCCCACAACAGTCCCCAGAGTGTGATATTCCCTTTCCTGTGTGCATGTGATCTCATTGTTCAATTCCCACCTATGAGTGAGAATATGTGGTGCTTGGTTTTTTGTTCTTGCGATAGTTTACTGAGAATGATGTTTTCCAATATCATCCATGTCCCTACAAAGGACATGAACTCATCATTTTTTATGGCTGCATAGTATTCCATGGTGTATATGTGCCACAGTTTCTTAATCCAGTCTATCATTGTTGGACATTTGGGTTGGTTCCAAGTCTTTGCTATTGTGAATAATGCCGCAATAAACATACGTGTGCATGTGTCTTTATAGCAGCATGATTTATAGTCCTTTGGGTATATACCCAGTAATGGGATGGCTGAGTCAAATGGTATTTCTAGTTCTAGACCCCTGAGGAATCGCCACACTGACTTCCACAATGGTTGAACTAGTTTACAGTCCCACCAACAGTGTAAAAGTGTTCCTATTTCTCCACATCCTCTCCAGCACCTGTAGTTTCCTGACTTTTTAATGATTGCCATTCTAAATGGTGTGAGATGGTATCTCATTGTGGTTTTGATTTGCATTTCTCTGATGGCCAGTGATGATGAGCATTTTTTCACGTGTTTTTTGGCTGCATAAATGTCTTCTTTTGAGAAGTGTCTGTTCATGTCCTAAGCCAAAAGAACAAAGCTGGAGGCATCACACTACCTGACTTCAAACTATAATACAAGGCTACAGTAACCAAAACAGCATGGTACCGGTACCAAAACAGAGATATAGATCAATGGAACAGAACAGAGCCCTCAGAAATAACGCCACATATCTACAACTATCTGATCTTTGACAAACCTGAGAAAAACAAGCAATGGGGAAGGGATTCCCTATTTAATAAATGGTGCTGGGAAAACTGGCTAGCCATATGTAGAAAGCTGAAACTGGATCCCTTCCTTACACCTTATACAAAAATTAATTCAAGATGGATTAAAGACTTAAACGTTAGACCTAAAACCATAAAAACCCTAGAAGAAAACCTAGGCATTACCATTCAGGACATAGGCATGGGCAAGGACTTCATGTCTAAAACACCAAAAGCAATGGCAACAAAAGACAAAATTGACAAATGAGATCTAATTAAACTAAAGAGCTTCTGCAAAGCAAAAGAAACTACCATCAGAGTGAACAGGCAACCTACACAATGGGAGAAAATTTTCACAACCTACTCATCTGACAAAGGGCTAATATCCAGAATCTACAATGAACTCAAACAAATTTTTTTTAAATAAAGGATTATTTACTAAGTAAGGATAAGGTGCAGGGACTGCTACAAAGGATGATGCTGTCAGCACCTGAGGCTAGTGTTCACAGGACGCTGTTTTCCTCCTTTAATCTAGGATTTAAACACAGAGAGGGTAGGGTAAGTCATGCAATTACCAGAATCTGAAGTTGGGGAAAACTATCGATAAAGATAAGGCTACCTAATAGAAGCTGTGACCTAGACATTGACTTATATATTAATGAAGGCTGTAAAATTGTTCGCAGTGTATTCTACATGGCTTTTCAATTTGGAAAATTTCACTACAAGGCAGAGAGTTAAAAATTATTTTTGGGAAAATGCCTAAAGAATCTGAATTCACCTTCAGGGGAAATGAGTCAAAGAAAACTATTCAAAATGCATGCATTATTAGATTTAGAAAATATCAATGCTGGTTTCATTTTCATTAGCACCAAATTGATGCTACCTAATCTTATTTTCCTCCTAAATTTATGTGTATGTGTTGGTAGAGGAGAGATAAAATTTAAAAATACCTTATTGTAAACACAGCCTCAGCACTTTGGTTAAGTGTTTTTTATTAAAATTATGAAAACATCAAGAAAAATAAAGGAGAAACAAGACATATTGTTTTTTACTAAACTAATGCTATGGTATTGTACATTTGGAGTATAATAGGCAATACTTCTCTTGGAAGGAGATTTGGCAAGAATTTGGGTCAAAGACATCCTTTATCCACTCCTGAAATTGATAGAAAAATTATATATACGCATGTATAAATTGATATGTAAACTTTACATATAAAGGAGAAGCAAGGCACAGTATGAGGAAAAAGTAAAGAAATAAAATATTGATATAAAAACATTGTCAACTAGAATATGAGGTCATTTTATAATCTTGGATTTGCAGATGAATAATTAAAACTTGAAAGGGTATGTGATTTCCTCAAGGATACAAAATTAGCACTGGGGCTGAGCTTTTAGTTGCCTCTTTTAGCTTTGCTGGGTCTAATCCCACATACAAGAAACACATAAATTACAATAGAGAAGTGAATTATCCTTTTTCTCTTTTATTTTTCTGGTTACTTGTTTGAACTTATTTTTTCTTCCTTGGGAATTTTCAATGCTTTCTACAAGCAAGATAATAAAACTTATTAATCTATTAACCTAGTGAAAGAACTAGAACTCATTGTAATAATACTTGAAGCAGTGTAATGGATTCCATTTGGAAATGCCTTCTATGATCACTGAAATTATCATCAAAACATATTTAATACATTTTCATAGGCCAGGTGCTTGATCTTCAGGAATTTGCCTCCACTCAAATTTAAAGAGAACTTGACAAGATTAAATATTTGAACAGGGAATGACAATTCTTTCAATCCTCTCTTTTCGTTTTCCTTTCAAATTAGTTCATTTGGAAAGTTCTTAAAGTATCAAATTGAATATCTTCATCTACTTTGTGAAAATTAGGATTCATGCTATTTTTCTGTTTCTAGAAGGCAAACTCAAGGTGGAGTCAGCTCTTTGTGATTCTCCTAGCGTTTGATGTTATAAATAATATCACTCATTATGGCACACCTGCTAGAATGTAAAAGCCACAAATATCAGGAGTTCAGTTAGGTTCTTGAATTGCTTTACCCTAACACATAGCAGGTACTCAATAAGTAATTGTCAGTAAATTAGTTATAAAAGTCAAGTTATTAATTATAAATTAATTATACCATATATGTCATGTAGGCAGGTGTAAAATTTATTATACCTTCCTACATGACAAACACGGTATTTCGTCATCTAATTCTCATAAGAAACCTGAGTAGTATCATTATGCCCAGTTATTGATGAAGAAACAGAGGTTTAGGAGTGCAAATAAATTATCCAAATCCCCAAATATGGTTTTAGAAATGATTTGTGATCAGGTGGACCTCATCTACAATTTTTGTCATTAACCACTGTTCTTCAACTCACACCCTCCATTTTCCAACCTTCTGAGAAGTCCTGCCATCATTCCCTCTAGAAATTTTCACAATTTTTGATGTATAGAATTGGAACATGGGTCCAAAGCCTAAGAGTTTCTGTCTAAGCTAAAAACAAAAGCTTTTTTTAAGCTGCTAAAATTAGATGAAATGTGAAAAAGGTGAAGTATGTGTTTAGTAAAATGATACCTTCTCTCTTGGCACCATGTATACTCCCATGTCCTTGCTCCTAGCTATTCATCACTCCCATTTCATTTCTAAACCTCTGAAGAGCTTATTTTTCAGGGTTTTCATTTTTTTATTTCCATTCCAGCATATGTTTTAAGCTCAATATAGCTCACTAAACCATTGTAATGAGTTAAGTGAGTCCTCATGGGTTAGTACATTGCCTTTTCGGTTGTTATAATTGTGTTCTAATGAGGGTATTGTGAAGGTAATATATTAATTTTCTGCATTGCTTCTAATGATGAGATTTACCAGATACTGAAATACTGAACAGAAAGCCCATTATATTTAAGACATTCATGCTTTCCTCCAGGAAACCATTTCTTTGCAGCTTTTTTTTTTTTTTTTTTTTTTTTTCAAATTTTGTCTATTGTCTCGTACTTCAGCACCTCAGAGCAAGAGGGTGGGACTGGTATCTTCTCATTTGCCAAGATCTCTGCTCTTTTAAGCCCCAGGTACCCCAAAACTTTGTTGTTGCTTGCATCTCCTGTCTTGCCAGTAGTTTCTCCTCGTTCAAATTTCTGGCTCGAGGCCCTCCACTCTACATCAGTTCCTCTTATAATCGTTGTGCATTTGCTGTCTACATGGAAAGTCTGTTTTAGGGCATTGGGCTCTCAGTTCTTTGATCTCATTTCTGGTGGCTTTTGCCTCACTTTGGATACACACAATCCAAGGTCAAACCTAAGAATTCATCATCAGGGCTGCAACTAGAATGATGCAAGTGAGGCCGGGCACAGTGGCTCACACCTGTAATCCCAGCACTTTGGGAGGCGGAGGCAGGTGAATCGTGAGGCCAGGAGCTCAAGACCAGCCTGAGCAACAGGGTGAAACTCCGTCTCTACTAAAAATACAAAAAAAAAAGAAAAAAAAAAATAGCCAGGCGTGGTGGCACATGCCTGCATCCCAGCTACTCAGGAGGCTGAGGCAGGAGAATTGCTTGAATCCTGGAGGCCGAGGTTGCAGTGAGAGGAGATCACGCCACTGCACTCCAGCCTGGCAACAGAGAGAGACTCCATCTCAAAAAAGAAAGGAAAAAAAATGGACACAAGTGAAGCACTTTCTTCGGGTGCAGAATTTAAGGAATGCCAACACAACTTAATAATAGAATAAATATATTCCAATGCAATATTTAAAAAATAGAAATCCAATGTGAAAATCCCACAAGAAATAGTTTATCAAAATCTAAAAGAAAGGATCAGTAAGTTGAAATTAAGTAAAAGTTAATCAAGACATTTGTCAAGAGAAATTGTCAAACATAGCAATTCTCTCAATTAAAAATGAGTAAGCAAAAGAGTACATTTTGAAAATATTATAATATATTCAGGTTTAGGTATAAATGAGATATTTAAACCTAAAAACTAGATTGTATGTTTCAATACTCTACTTTCCAGGTTTTCATTATTTTTTAAAACTATTTTTGTGTTCTGAGAAAAATAACCATTAAAAAGCACAGGAAGTCACGTATATAGCCAGACACTTTCCTTTTGCCTTAGGCTCCAGTATGGTTCCACATGGCACTACCCATGACCACTTGTAGTTGATCCATTCTCCTTATGAATTTCCACCTATCACACAATTACATACTCCCGAGACAGTGAGATAAACGCATTCACACAAACACACACACACACAGACACACACACACACACACCCCTAATTGTATTGGCAAAGAGAGTCTATTCCTCATGAAAATTTGGACCAATGTAGCCCTCCTCTAGAGGTCTGATTTATAGCTTTTAACTTTAGATCTTATCTAAAAACCCTGAGTTGTTAGAACCCAATGTAATCTCTGACTTCAACGTATACTGAGGTCACACCACCTACGAGAAATCTTGCGGCAAGATTTTTGTGTATCTTAAAGTCTTGAGTGAGAAACTAAAAGAATCTTGATGTATAGGACAGACTGTTTCATAGAATAACTCATTCCCTTTTTCAAGCTTCCTTATTTCACTGTTGCCAGCATGTTGTTCATTCTCAGGGAGTAGAAATAATTTCCAGTCAGATATAACATCCAAGACTTTTAAGTTGGTTTGAAAAATCCCCCAAAGCCAACCTTGGAGTAGAACAGTTACTGTATTTCCTCTCTTATGAACTCCATTAAGAATTTACTTTGGCACAATTATCTTATCCCAACACCAACTTCCTTAATACCTGCTTACTGAAATGGAACACTTTAAAATAAATTAACGTAGTAATGACTTTTGTGTACTAATGATTTTAACATTTTGGAAAAAGAAATCACTTATTTTACAAACATCTAAGACATGTTGATTCTAGGGAACTTCTCTGCTGCAAAACTTTCCCATGAAAATTGATAAAGGAACATTTCTATGACCATTAAGCAATAAGCATGATCAAATAAAAAATGAGATTAAAACCCACCGATAATTGAATGGCCTATTGTGCAAGAATATTGCTTTACATATTTTCTTCACAGTATAGTTTTTAGTAAATTCTCTGTTTTCATATATATACTTTAATTTTATAAAAAGTTCAATAGTAATAACAAACTATCCAAGTATATATTGACTCTGTATTAGCATATGTAGTTTTTTAATTTCTTGGGTTTTGCTTTTTTTCTTTTATTTTTTAAATATCAGGATATTGTGCTAAAATTCTATGGTCTCTGAAAACATTATGATTGTTCCAAAATAAATAATTTAAAATTATATTAGAGCAATTTTTATAGATTATTCCTTGAAACTAGGTTTTGAATCTGTTTCCCACATTTCAAAAATAAATCATATATTACAGACTACAAAATGGCAATCAAAAATTTTTTACAAAATGGTTTGTGAGGTTTACTAAGATCTTAATTTTTATTGATGATTGAGTTTACAATTTAGAATGATGATGATGAGTTTAAAAATATTCTCATATTTGCTATTCTATATATTTAAAATAGAAAAAGGTACCATTAGATAATATACATGTAGCATAAACTTGATATACTGTATTATTTCATTTATATGAAGTTCTGTAACAGGTAAACAATAGTGAAATAAATCAGGCTACCTGTATTCCTTTATGGAAAGGGTGGGGTAGATAGTGGTTGGGGAAGAGAAGTATATGTGCTCTTTGTCCTCTCAGTATAGCAGGTTTCACTGGTGTAGCCATTCATCAAAACTGTTGAACAGTAATATTTAAGATCAGTGCAATTCACTGAATGTAAATTATACCACAATAAAATAGAAACAAAGCATACTATTTGTTGAAGACTATATTTTACAGTTTTTTAAAAGTCTACAAAGTCCATTTTTTGAATAAACAAATGAAGATGTAATATATCAGGTAGTGATATGTATTATGTACAAAAAGGGAGGGGATAAGATGTGAGGGAATGCGTGGTGGGCTATTTTAGACAGTGGTGAAGTAGATTTCTTGGAGAAAGTGATGCAGTGCATGAGTAGAGACAGGAACTAAAGGAGGCCTTGTGCCATGTAGGCATCTGGAAGATGAGCCATTTCAAGCAGAAGGAAATTCACAGGCCTTACTAACATGGGGAAGTACTTATCATGTTTAATTACAGCAAAATGACTGAAGCCAAGTGTATGACAGGGAAAAAAAAGAGCTACGTTTTGAAAATATGTTTTTAAATAGAGCACAATAAGCCAAGGTGTGCAAAATTGATCTCCTTACTAAATATAATTTAGTTTCTCAAGTGGGCCCAAGGTTTTATTTTTTTATAAGTATACTTATGTGTTAGATAAGTATACGTAGCAGAAATAATTTTTACAAGATTGAATTACTCAAAGTAGTTTCAGCAGATGCTGGAAGCCTTAGAGGATGAAAGCTTCTTTTTCTGTTGAAGGAAATAGCACAGCAGGAAGGCCTTCTATGATGTAACTCTGTGACTTCTTCACCTTCTGCTGGATGCCACTTGACATCTCAATAAAGTTACTTGGATATCTTGACCTATTTTGATTTTATTATCACTCCCTCTCAAAATATATTTATAGGTAAATTATAAAAATCTCTTTAGGCTAATTAGAAAATTCTGTAGATAGTAAGACAGCAGTTTTAACATAATGCTTGAACATAGAGCATAGAGATCTTGAACTATTCAATTCGATTCAAAAGGTTATGCTATTTCATTTTTTAGCTTTGCATTTGAAAAGCTTAATTATGATTTGATTTTATAACACAATAAAAATACAACTATTTCATAATGGTTTGGAAGAGCTAAAAGCATTGATAAAAAATGTGAAATGATATAATTTAACTATATTTCTTTTTCAAAAATATGATTTCTATTAAAAACAATTATACTTAGGTGACCTTGAGTATGGCAATGACTTTTTGGATACAACATCAAAAGTAGGATTCATTTAAAGATTGATAATCTGACCTTCATTGAAATTAAAAACTTCTTCCCTGAGAAAGACAGTGTCAAATGAATGAGAAGACAAGCTACAAACTGGGAGAAAATACTCACAAAAGACACATCTGATTAAGGACTGCTATGCAAAATATACAAAGATCTGTTAAAAGTTAACAATAAGAAAACAAACCACTCATTTTAAAAATGGGCCAAAAACCGTAACAGTCACCTAACCAAAGAAGATATACAGAGAGCAAATAAGCACATGAAAAGATGTCCCACATCAGATGTTATCAAGGGGATATAAATTTAAATAATAATGAGATAACACTACACACCTATTAGAATGACCAAAATTCTAAACCCTGATGACACCAAATGCTGTTGAACATGTGGAGCAAGAAGAAGTCCCATCCATTGCTGGGGACTGCAAAATGACACAGTGCCTTTGGAAGACAATCTGAAAGTTTCTTACAAAACTAAAGATGCTTTTACTATAAAATCCAGCGGTCATTCTCCTTGGTATTTACCCAAAGAAGCTGAAAACATCCATCTGCACATAGATGTTTACAGCATCTTTATTCACAATTTTCAAAACTTGGGAGGGAACAACCAAGAGGGTCTACAGTAAGTGAATGGATAAATAAACTGTGGTACCTTCAGACAATGGACTATTATTCAGTGCTAAAAGTAAGTGTACTATCAAGCCTTGAAAAGACATGAACAAACTGTAAATTCAAAATACCAAATGGAAAAAGGCAATATGACAAGGCTGTATACGCTATGATTTCACCTATTTGACATTCTGTGAAAGGCAGAACTATAGAGAAAGTGAAAACACCAGTGATTGTCAGGGGGTTGTGGTCAGGGAAAAATGAATCGGCAGAGAACAGAGGATTTTTTGGTCAGTGAAAATAAGTCTGTATGATACTATAATGATAGAAACATCTCATTATACATTTAGTCAAAGCCACAGAGTGTAAAACACAAAGAATAAACCCTAATATAAACTAGTATTTGAGTGATAATGATGTGTAAATGAAGTTTCATCAACTGTAACAAGTGTACCACGTTGGTGGGGGATGCTGATAATACAAGTTATGCATGGGTGGGGACAGGAGTATATGGAAAATATCTATACCTTCCTCCCATTTTTTTTGTAAACCTAAAGCTTCTCTGTGAAGAAAATTCTTCAAATATGACAAAAAATTATACCACAAATTGAATAGTCCATATTCAAATCTTCACAATCCATTTTATGTATGTATGTATGTATTTATTTATTGAGATGAAATTTCACTCTTGTTGCCCAGGCTGGAGTGAAATGGCACGATCTCAGCTCGCTGCAAACTCCGCTTCCCAGTTTCAAACGATTCTACTGCCTCAGCCTCCCAAGTAGCTGGGATTACAGGCATGCATCACCACACCTGGCTAATTTTGTACTTTTAGTAGAGATGGGGTTTCTCCAGGTTGGTCAGGCTGGTCTCAAACTCCCAACCTCAAGTGATCCACCTGCCTTGGCCTCCCAAAGTGCTGGGATTACAGGCATGAGCCACCGCGCCTGGCCTTCCATTTTATTTAAGAAGAAGAAATCTCATAGTTATTTCTACTGCCTGAACATATTGAGATATAATCTGCATAAAAGAAAACACGAGAAATTAAGTTTTTAATTTCATGAGTTTTCACAATTGCAAACAGCTAGGTAAATACCACCCCAAACAAGGAATAAAATATTTTCATAATTCCAGAAAGTAACAGCATGCTCTTTCCAGACAATTTTCTCTCCCATTGTTGACATCATCATCATCCTCATTGTCTTCATCATTCAGAAATACCCTAGGCAGCCCTGTTGATATCTAGTTTCTACTTAAAAAGTTTCAACCTATAAATACAGTGCAATAGTTAGAAACAGACTGGCTATAATTGCTGTCTAAAGAGACTGGCTGGCTGTTAAGGTCAGGCCTCAGTGGGTAGAAATACTTGTCTGGGGAAATCAAGGACCAGAGGTTGATTCACAGATCAAGAAATTTATATTTGTCTCCATAGCTGGATGTGATTGGAGTCAGGAGAAGGGATCACAGTAACCAAACCCATGCAAGACAACTATGTGACAACATGCAAATTTGTTGATTTATAATAAAAGAAATATAATTGACAAAGGAAAGGTGTTGGAATGTTTGAATATTAGGTGGTACATTTTCTCCTTGTAGGAACATGGAAGTTGGAAGCCAAATTTCAATTCTAAAGATGTGATTAGAATCCAAGTGAATGAAGTGAGTTTATTGCTTATAATGGTTTGGGTTCATCTCATTTTGCTAGATCAATGCATCCACTTGTGTTACAGGAATAGACATCTGCAGTTTTCTGTTTAAAATTTCCTTTCTCTTGACATTGCTGAAGAGAAAGTGACATATTGTCTCTCTTAAATGTTCATTTTTTTCCAAGAATGAGGTATTTTTATATTTTTGAAAATGTAATATGTATTGATACATGATAAAATAATATAGAAATAAACAATAATTTGTAGAGTAATTTTTTGAGGGTACTCAGTTTTATACTATGGACTTCCCATAATTTTTTCAACTTAATCTTTATAACAATACAAAGAGATAGAATTATATTCCCATTTTATTGATAACAAAGACATATTTATTAATCTCACTCTAAGATGTAGGGAATATTTCTCTGAGTTATATTGATACCTGCTTTCTCACTAAAAAACAATAAAAATAAAAAGCCCTTTTCTAATTTGCCACCTAATTCACACCAGGAGTCACATCATTTATATGCAACCATGTAAATTCAAGCAGTAAATTGGATTATAGATTTTTCTAAAATTAATCATTGTAAGAAAAAATGTGCCGTCATTTTAGACTGAACATTTTATTTGAGATAGCCTTTATCTACTACACTAAAGGTAAACATGGAAACAGCTTTCCAAATACTTTCTGCTACTCATAACATGGTACAATTTTAATAAAATTCCGTTAATGTAAGGATTATGCTGACTTTAATTCCTATTTAGCCATACTTCTCAATCCTCTCACTAAAATATTGCAAACTCCACCTTTGCCTTAAATTAGACATCCTAGTTCTTTCATATCCAGATATGTAATTCATTCTGATATGTCGTTAGGGATCTTGTCTGATGTATAATCATTTGAAGTGGATAGACAAAATAATTTATCAAGCTTTAAAATTTTGATGATAATTTTGGTGGATTCAGTATGATGTGGGGGGGAAAAACAAGGAATCTACAAAAAAAGTGCAGTGAGTTAGTGTTTAATTGGGGGTAATTCTTTATAATTAATTAATTTAGAACTAGGCAACAGCCTTGCCTCTCCTCCATGTTCCTCTGTGTTCTTGAGAACAAGTCAGCTAGGCTCACTAAGGTTTTTTGTTTGTTTTGCTTTGCTTTTATGCACTATTATTTTTCTCCCCCTGTGAGGCAACCAGTCGAAGTCGAATGTTTGTTTTTTTCTTCAACACTGACCAGAGGAATAAGATTTGTTTTTACTTAATTTCTTAGGGTAAGGTTGTATTTTTAAAAGTATTTGGTTATGGTGGGGCTCTGTTGCTTTTCTTATTACCACAATATACACAACTAGAACAGGAAATGGATCCTATAGCTGCCACATTATCAAACCTCAAGCTGGAGCCACAATTTAACAGCTACCTTCTCTTGGTAGGGCAAGGTGATGTCCTTTAAAAGATATTGTTAATTGAGCTACATTCCACTGATGTAATGACATCTTGACACAATTATTTATAGAGAACCTTTGTCTGAAGCTTTGTCTTTACTCTTCAGTTAATATGTTACTCTTTTGCTGCCAGAGCCAATAACTTAGACTCTTCCAGAAAGCCTAATATCTTATGGTCTATGTATTTTTGGCTGAAAAAGTTAACACGGTACTTTGAGTTAATTATAATTTGGGCCTGTTGTCAGTGATACCCGGCAAGTCCAGATACTTAGGCAATTACTCATGTAAACCCATAGCTTTGTTCAAATGCAAGAACAAACCCACCAGAGGAAAAGCGCTAAAAAAGCGGAAGTTCCCCAGGCCCTTGGATTGCTAATCTGGCTTTATGGTAACAGTAGACTCAGTCTTAGCTTGTGGCATTATTAGTAACTGGGCTTATTTCAAAACCTGGGCAATAATATAGACGTATTTATTTTTCAAATGTATAGATCATAAGAGGAAGATCAAAATGATAAGCAAAATGTAAATTGTTTTAAAAATCCACCTTGATAGCACTTTTTTTATTTCCTTTATCATTTATAAGTTTTGATAAGTACCTTCAAGCTCAAAAGTTAGTTTGAAGCCTGCTAAGAATTCACTATCTTTTATCTCCTATACATGAGTAAATAAACATTTAATAGTGTTCCGTATTGCTCCTAAAAGGTTAAGTCCAACAAACATTAGAGTTCATGTTACCACTTTACTGAAATTCATAGAGACAGTTCATGTAGACAAGTTCAAATAGAGAGGTGGGTATAATATTGACCTAACTAAACTGACAAAAGGGGCCCTTACTTGTATGTTTTTGGACCTGAAATGATTTGGTTTCAATCATTCCGTGCTATATATAAAGAGTTATAATATATAGCTCTCTATACATGAAACTCTACCTCTCTGTCTTTCTGTCTGTATATCAAGAGAGAGAGACTGAGAGTGAGATTTCATATATGTACATATATATGAAGCATGTGCTATGTATACTTGTATATGTTACATGTATGTATATCTAGGTATTATATATAAGTATGTTGTGAAACTAATGTCTTCATGCCCATTTTGAAAAACACACTTTCCTAGTTAATTTCATATGTAAGAGATGAGGTGTGCTACTGTGTATCACATGACTTTGTATGCCATGAGAGACCTTTCATAAAAGGAATAATTAACTTATCTTTGGCTTCATTATGCACAATGTATTGTTTTCTCTTCTAATTTCTTGATATCAATATTGAGTTACTGAATTCCATTCTTACTCATTTCAGTGATTTCTTACCAACCTTTCAAGATCCAATAGAATTATACAATCCTTACATACTACAATAAGGTATTACCATTGATAGGCCAGGCACAGTGGCTCATGCCTGTAATCCCAGCACTTTGGGAGTCCAAGGCAGGTGAATCACTTGAGGTCAAGAGTTTGAGACCAGCCTGGCAAACATGGTGAAACCTCATTTCTACTAAAAACACAAAAATTAGCTGGGTGTGGTGGTAGGCGCCTGTATTCACAGCTACTTGGGAGGTTGAGGCAGGAGAATCCCTTGAACTTGGGAGGCAGAGGTTGCAGTGAACCAAGATCACACCACTGCATTCCAGCCTGGGCAATAGAGGGAGATACAATCTCAGGAAAAAAAAAAAAAAAAAAAAAAAAAGCTGGGTGCGGTGGCTCATGCCTGTAATCCCAGCACTTTGGGAGGCCAAGGTGGGCAGATAATGAGGTCAGGAGATCGAAACCATCCTGGCTGACATGGTGAAACCCTGTCGCTACTAAAAATAGAAATAATAATAATAATAATAATTACCATTGATAGTTTTCATTTTGTAAATCAGAATTAAGGTTTTTTTCATTTTAATGAATTGTTGACTAAAGACTGACAAATACTTGGAAACAAATATCAAACCAGTTATATATTTTGATTTAATTTATTGCATGAAATAAACAGTGATGTTTTTCAATTTAAATTAGGAGTGCTTTATTAGAGATTATGAAACCTAGGAAGTGAGATAATATCCTATTTTGAAGAGACCTTTCTCCTTCCACCAATTCCTTTCATCTAAGTTATCACCACTGCTGATTGGTACATATATCTGGGAAAACCAACAAAAGAAAACAATTCTATTGATTCCCATGAATTTGATTAAATCTGACAAGTTGCTTTCTTTCCTTAAGCCAGAAGTCCCTGATTAACTAAGATAGTCTTTCCCACCAAATGTTTGAAAATGTTTTAGTTTTATTGATAGATATTACATATCTTGCCTTGTCTTGCTTCAGGGTTTACTCACTTTTGAACTTTGTTCATTATTGGATTGTATTTCTACAATTAACATTTTATATGTAAATATTTTCAATTGGAAGCCCTCATGTGGAAAATCCCTTTCATGACCTTTTTTATTTTCTCTTAAATGATGACCTTAAAATCACATCAAATATTATGAAAATAAACTTCCTGGGGATGTGTCGTAACAGGCATGTTGAAATTTTACTTAAGATGTTTAAGCGTCTTTTAATTTTTCCATAGAACTTGACTTGCCAACTTATTTTTAAAAGTTATTTTCTCATATTTTCTTACTCTTGACTATTTCTTTAAGTTCATTTACTGTGTTCACATTAACAGAGTTTCTAATCCAGTGAAAAAGAAAACAATTTTTACACAGATGCTTATTCAAAATCATTTTACAGAAGGTAATAGATTTAGAGATTTTATAATAAAGTTACTAACTGGCAAGGACACAAACACAACCCATCCAATGGTTTTAATGTTAGCTCATGTGAATCAATTTTGAAAAACTTAACATCCCTTTCTTGTTTCGGAAATAAAAAAGAATGGGGTGATTTTCATTATATCCTAACATTTAAAACTTTTAATTAAATTTGTAAGGCATATTCTTTCTACCCATAAATTAGAGCAAGTTTTATTTTATAACATAAAAAAGAAAAATCTATAACGCAAGCAGTTATTTTCATTTAAACTTATGAAAATACAGCTGACACCTTTATACATGATTATTGAAAAATTAAATATGTACATTCTTTTGAAAGGGCAAATTTTAAGCTTTTAACAAAAGTGTGTATCTATATTTTTTATATACAAATTCCAAATCTAGGCAACTGCCTTTATATGGTCACAAAGTGTTGTACATAAAAAAAACTCCTTGTAGCATTCTTTTAATGAGTGACAAAAAACAATCTAAATATACGTCAAGAGGAAAATAATTTGATATATTGCAACATTATGCAATGATTTTAAATAGTTTCATGTCTATATGCTTACAAAGTATCATCCAAAGCACTCAGGAACACTCACTTTTAGAAATCTCTATCTAGGCCGATACATAACCAACATTAATCATACTTAAGAATTTCGAGAGAACATTATTATGGTAATTTAAGTGTTTCCCGATGTAGATTAACCCTAAGGTCATCATGTGCACAAAATCTTCTATAGGCGGACATTAGGACCATTCATGTAAAAACTAAAGCAGAAGCCTAGAGAAGGTCATTTCTACAACAGGTTCACATGATGAATCAGCCTAAATTCTCAAAGCTCAAGGCAACCAATGTCCAGCTCAAATACAATGTTAAACTCCTTTAAAGACAACAAATTGAGTTACATAAATTGATCTCTTTTCCCAATAGACATTATGACACATTATGACATAAATAAGGGGACACACTGTATTATTGTGTAGAGTAACAAAACTGCTCATGGAATTAATTTAACACCATGGGGAAAGGGAGCAAACCACCTTTTCTTTTCTTTTTTTTTTTTTTTTTTTTTTTTACTATAAGACAAACCAAGATGTCAAATAAACTTATTAGAGCAAAGACAGAATTCTCATTTAAGCCAGTCATCTCTACAGTGAGAAGCTAATTCTGTCTAAAGCATGCTTGTTTTGTTTTCAAGAAGAGGTCATCATTAAGGTATGCACATGTAAAGTGGTATTTCTCATTTGTGGTCTTGGAGGGAATTTATTGTGGGAACAAACCAACATTTTTTTAGTCATTGCAAGCTGTAGATAGAAAAAAAATTCAATCATATACTGTATTCCTGTAAGAGGATTCAGAATATATGGTCTCAGTAGTTGTTTATCTTCAGAGCAATAATCAGACCACATACACAAATGCATACTCAATGCCTTGCACTTACATTTTCAGACCTATGGCTTGTTCTTGCTGAAGATGCAACATTGAATTATTGTGGAATACCTTGTAAATAGGTGGTTTCATTTATACAGAGGATGTTGATCCACCTGGATTAATATAGCCAAGCTATATTAATATCAATAACAAGATTAGTAGTTCCTGTTAAAAGAGTATCTACTAGGAGCCTTAAATACATTATTTTTCAGACTCACAGGAGCATTACAAAGTAATAAGGATTATTATTGAGCACTTAGGATGTGCTAGGTGTTGTAGTAAGCTCTATCCTTATTATATATTTTAATTCTCATATGTTACATATTTTAATTATTGTAATTCTCACATAGCATACATATGATAAAAGAAAAGAGAAGAGAAAAGTGAGATAAGGGAAAACTGGGATGCAGAGGCCTTCGTGTGTCTTCCCCGAGATTTCACAATTTCTTAGAGTCAAATTCATGAGGAACCTGCGCAATTCTTGTGCCAAACCTATTGCTATTCTTTGGCTATCAGAAACTGACCTTATCTCTGTATCTTATTTGAATTGAGTACTTAGATGGTAAAGAATAAAAGGAAACATGTAAACTAAATAAGCAGATAGAAACAAACATGTATACAAAATAGTATATCAACTAATTTTTAAAAATAGAAGTGGGGTCTTTGGAGAGGTATAAAAGAGACAAATATTCTAGTTTGGGTGAATAAAATAAAATATATACAGTCATATTTCTCACATTTTCCCACAACAGTAAATGATGGAGAAATACCAAAATAGTAGTATTAATAGTAATAGAAGAAAGAACAATAACTACAATTTAACTGTTTAGTCCAAGAATGATAATGTAGTAATAAAATTTAAATGTTATAGAAGTTACTACAATAGGTAAGAGTAAACATCACCTTGACAATGATATAGCAATGTTTCAGAAGAGGGAAGTCAAAACTGAGGTACTTAACGTGTGTGGGGATTGTGGTAAAGTGATTTAAACTGAGTCATTTAAGGTATGGAATTAACTGAGATTATACAGAGTTTATGATATAGTAATTTAAGACTGGTGGGCAGAGCGAGATGCATGTGGAAACAAGCAGCCTCAATAAGTAAACTGTTGTTTGATAAATTATTTATTCAGATGAGCAGAGTGTTGTCTCTAATAAATTGATCTGTGGAAATTTCCTGAAGAAAATAATAAAATTAGTTGGCTTATGATTTTATCCTTTCATAGAAAATATTTTTGAAGCAAACAATAAAAAGTTTTGTTAACATAGGTGGTTTCTTATTTCTCAGAACTCTCTTGTAGTCATTTTTCAACCTAAGCTGGAGGATAAATAATAATCATCTGCACAAATAATCAATCAAAATCAATACCACTGTCTTCAGGGTCCTGATTGCATATCAGATTTCTGGTGGGATCATTTCAACTATCATATACATTAGGTTTTTATGTTTGTTTGTTTGTTTGTTTTTGTTTTGGCTGCATGATCATTTATTGTCATATCAGAGTGGCTACATAGAAATATTTTTGATTATGAAAACCTGATATTTGAATGCTGAATCACAGACAGATACTAACAGAAGTATTTTACATTCTAAGCCAAGAGCCAAAAATGCCTAAATTAAAGCAATACAATGGAACCCATGACCAAACCAAAAAGTTTTAATGGTCAGATGTGGGAATACTAGATTTATCACCTTGTCTTGTAATTTTTAAAAAATTTCCCATATTTTCTTAATAAAATAAAAACAGAAAGAACTATAGGAATATGAGTAAACTTTCCTCCTGTAAAATGCCTCATGTTTCATCCTGACAGGCCAATATTATTTCTCGTACTGCTATGTTTTGAAGAAGTACCACCTCCTCAGTATTATGAAATCTCCAGGTGATGATTTCTATGGCCTCACTGAAATTGTTCAGTGTTCCTGATAATATCTGAAGCACAGATAGTATGATTTAAAGACAGGAGAAAACTATTCAGAATTAGACATGAGTAATGTTGTATATCTCAAAATGAGGCCCTGTTTTTCTCTTTCTTGAATGAAATTATCTAGAGTTCTCTTTTTCTAGGGTTTGAGGGGGAAATGTGCCCAAATCATCCATGAGTAATATTAGGCACCATTCTGAAAGTATAGTGTCTAAATTTACAAAGATAACAATTTTTTGGTATAATTTGTTGGCCACACCCAATAGACTTTTGTTTTGCAAACCTAACACTGGTCTTTAGAATCTACCCAAAGACTTATCATTGTCCAAAATACCTTCCTTGTGTGATTAAAATTTACTGTACAGTTTTGGTGACATTCAGAGGTAATTAGGTGAAGAGTAGAGAATATAATGCAGAAACATCAGAAGATTACCCACTGTAATTACCCACTAGTCTGGCTGTTGCCCTTAGACAAGGTGAGTAGCCTTTTGCCACTGAGTCTATGAAAAATTTATGGATAACTTTAAAGATGAATAGTCTTTAAAGATTCTGATAAAGTAAAGTCAAAACACCAATGGCTTGTCCAAATTGATCATGCACAAATTGGTAAAAAGATCTAAGATAATTAGGAAGGCCAAATAATTAATTTTAAATCACACAGCCTCCTACTCCTCCCACCCCCAACCCCAACCCTGCCACTCCCAGGGCACACAGAGACACACCCCTACAGCTAATTATGCTTATAATACAACAAAGAGATTGAGTTACTAACAACTAAGTTAAAATTTAGAGGTACAGTAATTTCAGTAATATTGGGAACCCATTGCATGTAATAACCTATGAAATCTCTATGGAGTGGCCATTCTTTATTCCTTTACTTTCCTAATTAACCTGCTCTCACTGAAAAAAAAAAAAAATTCACCCCCTACAGCCGAAAAAAAAAAAGTCTCTTAAAATAAGTATATTTTCTTAACAGTTTTAGAAAAAAAAAAAGTGTTTTGTAATCTCTCCAGAGTGATGGATTATAAATCATGTTCTAAATAGTGCATTTTCTTCTTACAAAATTCTAATTTTTCTTTGAACACATTATATACTTTCTGAGCTATAAGTAGTAGTTGGAATCAACCTGAAAAATTATCTCATCTTGACAACATAGCAAAAATTGTCTGCATGTTGGATAAGAGTAGAATTATAGAGAGATTCAAGGTCCTTCAGTGTCTAGCAGAAGACTTGTATAAGGTACCTGGGTGCCTCAGTACACTTCTGCAGTAAAACTGTCCAGGTACATCATTGATTTTTCTAGAGAAAGACTAATGAGTATTTTCTATTATGATCTAAAAGGGACAATACAAACAGCAGAACATGGATTTAGAATGCTAAAATACATAATCTCAGGTAGCATGGAAATTAAAATAATATAGAATTTTGGCACCACAGGAAAACAGGGCTAAATATTTTATTTATAGTTGCAAGGTCTGAAATAAATGGGTACCCCAGCCCACTGGGATCTCTTGATCAGAAGAATAGGAGTGTTCCAAGGACTAGTGCATAGTATTCGTAATTATTTTTCTGTTAGACACAACTGCTGGCTTTTGTCCTTTCCCTTTGGTTGTAGAGGGCAAGTGTAGATGGAGGCTTAAATGGGTCAGTGAGAAATGTGAGGTGTTCTTCCCCAATAATTCAGCCAATATCAGTAGATCTTCAATTTGAGTTTGATGTCGATACCAGGCTCCTTGTACTCCATAGTCCAAATTAGGTGTGATATGATTATGAATGGGTGATTCTTTTTTTTCCTTTTTCTTTTTTCTTTTCTTTTCTTTTTTTTTTTTTTTTTTGAGACAGAGTCTCGCTCTGTCACCCAGGCTGGAGTGCAGTGGCATGATCTCAGTTCAATGCAACCTCTGCCTCCTGGGTTCAAGCTATTCTCCTGCCTCAGCCTCCTGAGTAGCTGGGATTACAGGTGCCTGCCACCACACCCGGCCAATTTTTTTTTTTTGTATTTTTAGTAGAGAGGGGGTTTCACCGTGTTGGTCAGGCTGGTCTCAAACTCCTGAGCTCGTGATCTGCCCGCCTCGGCCTCCCACAGTGTTGGGATTACAGGCGTGAGCCACCGTGCCCTGCTGAATAGGTGATTCTTTAGAGATCTCAAGAGAAAGCCCATCAAGAGAGCACTTAAATTAGCAATTCTGTTTACATAGGAAATCCCTACCTATTAAATGAGGGGAAGTGCTGTCTCAAATGAGCAAACGATGTTAAAGATCTGAGGGCAAAAGCTATAGAGTGATACACAATAATCTGTAGATTTTTGCAAATACTCATCTCCTAAATACTTTATTGACTCTAGGGGAGTGACTGAATGCATGTGTGGCAGGGTCTGTAAACTATATTACTGTGCCTGAATCAATCAGAAACCTTGATACTGTCTGTTAATGTTTAGAGAAATGGGACATCAGGGAATTAATGACCCCACAGATCAGCATCAACTTCCCTTATCACATCCTTCCTTTTTAAAAATTTTCTTTTAGTTTCACAGTTAGTGCAGAATAGCTATTTTCCAATGTCCTTTATGAATCTTTTTCCAATGTCCTTTCTGCTTACAGTTATCTATCAATGTTTGTATTCAGGAAGCTTCCTCCTCTGATACTTGATAAATTGAGGAGAAATAGCCAGTTGTTTCATCTGTAAGGCTGTTAACTTATTCAGAGGCTTATTCTGTTTTTATTCCATGACTTTTTCAAAATGTTCAGTTAGGAATTGGAGTTCTGTTTGTCAATGAAGTCATTTTCCGATGTACTTTTTCCATTTTACATTCCCTAATTTTGGTTTAGGGCTCTTTGCAAAAATGATGAGAGGGTTTAGGTCCTGTCTGTCTCAAGATCTACTCCTGAATATTTTCTAAAGGTGTTGGAGGTCCTGTTCCTAAAGTTTCAAATTGATTCATTCTTTCTCTTTTTATAATGAGATGGAAGTCCAACCTATTTTCAGGAAAGTCTTGGGGTAGCCTCCAAAATATTTTCTCCACTGTGTATAGCTTTCCTAAATACTTCTGGTTTTCTCTAATATTCAGGGTCTTTCATTCACCTTAGATTATCCTAAGTCTTCATTTTTTAATCCAATTTTTTTACATTAATTTTCTTACTAACATAAGAATCACTTACGTAGATCTGGGAAACCTACGATATATGTTGTTAGAATGATTCTAAATTCCTCTGTACTTTGTCCAGACTTTTACATTGATTCTTAGTTCAGACTGAGAATGAAGGCTAAAAATAAACTATAAGAAGCTTGTTGATGTCTAAAGAGGACTTAACTTTAAGAGGCAATTGAGATTTGTGAAACTCAGGTTGTGTAATCCAGGAGGTAAGGGGCCAGGTGAGAAAATGGAGTAAGGCAAAAGGGTATTGAGTAAACAAAGACAGGGGAAAATAAAAAGTAGGGAAAAGGCCATTAAGTTCACATTGTAATAGGAATTTTACCTCCTTTCCATTTTAAGACTCCTCTCAAATTAACAACTTCTGTTAATATAAAAATTTCACCAAGTAGCCTCTTAACTGTAAATTATTTGTAAAGAAATTATGCCTTTTTGAAAGACAGTCATGGAAATTAGATTTATAATGTAGATACATATATGAGGCAAGGGTTCAGCCTACAGAAGGCATACACTTAGTGTGATTCAAAGCCATGAGAATCTAGCAACAAGCAGTAGAAAGTGTTGCTTTTGCATAGTGTTTTCAGGCCTCCAAGTTAATGATTTTTTTTTTAATCCCAGCCTCGATAATCTGAGGTTCTTGGATAACATAAACTTTTTTAATGGGAGATTTTATACAGAACCTGACTCTCAAAGACTGAACAGGATAAGAATAAGAAACATTTGCCTAAGGTTTTGAAGAGTTGACTCCAGGGAAAATTTATGTGAGGGATACCAGTCCGAGGAGGAACCTTCTGAAGTTATTAATTCCAGAGCTGGCTCTAGGAATCAACTTATCAGGATCCATGTCTGGCCATTTTTGTATAAACCTCCTCTTAGAGACTCACAAAAATGAGGACAGAAGGACACAATTGAGTAATTTAGCAATAAAGCAGATTTAAATCAAACATTAACATTTTCCAATCTAAACAGATCACAGAAAAAGTCCTAAAATAGATTCTATTTCCCATTAGACAAAATAAAACTAACATTTGGGAACTTGACAGTGACCAAAGTTGAGACACAATATCAATACCTAGACCCCACCATCACAGTTGCAGAGTCTCTCAAGGCTTCCCCAGTAGAGCATTCATTTTGCAAGTCAAGGATCTTAAGACACATCAGAGAGGGGATCTCAGCTAGAACACAGTGGTGCTTACAGTTCATTGCTCTCCTCAATATATCACCAGATAATCTGTAAGTAAAGTACACCTGAATTTATTGGAATACATTGTAATCAAAAAGCACACCACCCTGACAGAATCTTAGAAGTGTTTAAAAGAGGTCAGAATGGGATATTTATGGAGCTTTGGAGTCTGGTCTCAAGTTGTGTAATGCAGATCTTTCAAGAGAAGGAACTGATTAGGAATGGAAAAAATCCATGACATAATAATTTAGAATTGGTAGGTATAGTGAAGAAATAAACTTGTTTCATAAGTGAACTGTTTGCACAAATAAGCAGACTATTGTCTTCAGTAAATTGATCTGTAGGCATTTCATGGAAAAATAAAAAACAGTGAAGTTCTTTATTTTTTACAATACATTGATGAACAGAAATTTCCTAGAATCAACAAGTCATTGCCATGAACTCTTACCAGAGTAATGTTGACACAAATTATTAGTGGACTTCAACCCACAACCCCATATAGTAGATACTAATAGTTAATACTACTTTTACACTTACCATCCACTAGATACTCTTTTGTATGTTTCACAACTGCATTATTTAATGCTTCCACCAATTCTATAAGGTAGACTTGCATATTATACATTTTTTACCAATAAGGAAGCTGAGACATAAAGTGTAAGTAATTTTCCCAAAACAAAGGAGGAGGGAGCCATGAGCTAGGTTTCAAACTCAAGGAAGCTGGTATTAGCGGCTGTATTCTTAATCACTGCATTGTAATGCCTGTAACACATTCATTAATAATGCCATTTAAGTTTTGGAGACAGAACTGACATTGACATGAAAAAGTTTTAAATAAAGGCTTAATTCTCATACTATCATTTACAAAGAGTATCACAGTAGGATATAGGCTTCAAGGTTATGAGCTGCCTTTTCTTCAACTGTGAACTATGAATAAAATTTTCTACTTTTTATGATTTTGAAAGGTTTCATAATGGAGCTAGTGCATAAAAATAGATGAGGGGTGGTCCTATAGAATCAGAGGAGAGTACATTCATGAAGGGAGGAGTTTAAACAAATATGTAATGTTGAATATAAGGCAAAATCTTCAGAACATACTGAAATATGTCTAATTTAAGTAAAATAAACATAGCAGGGAACATGGAGAGATAATTATAGGTGTGAAATTATTACAGTTATATGAGTCTGGAAATGATTTAGTGGAAGCTCTAATTAATGTGGTTGAAAGGTAGAATTCAAATATTTCCAGCATTTCTTGTTCATTCAAATTATATTAGCATGCTTTTATTTATTTTCTTTTTCATAATGTGTTGTATAAGATGTAATATGTGTTTATAAATATGAAAACACATGAGTTTCTCATTTCCATTTGTGGGCTATAGGTGAGCTCAGATTCTTTTTGATGTTCAAAATAAATTTATACTATATTATTTTAGGAATACATACTATTTTTTGAGGTAGCTGTAAATGAAAAAATTGTAAAAAGAGATTCCTAAATTTAGAGATGAAAGTTCTTTTAAAAAATCTGATTGAAACAAAAACAGTATGGAAAATATGATACATTTAATTTCTAGATTTGTTTTAAAGTCATTCAGTATATACATATTTTTCAAGAGAAAAGGGTATGTATTATTCAGAATGTTGGGACATTGTACACCAAAGTAAAAATCAAATTTTGCTTGTTATATTTTCTAATATCTGTGTAGCTATTTTTATAATATTTTGCCCAAAAATTATTCTTTTAGGTCATCTTCCATTTGGGTAAGTTTATTTTATTTTAATGAGCTTCATTCTGTTATGATTCAGAAAGTTTAATCTTACAATGCCCAAAGCATCCATATATTAAAACTAGCTGACATGATACATTTAATTTCTAGATTAACATCCCTTTAATTTAGTTTAGTTCATCTTGTTTTTGTATAGAGGCGATATAAATGTCTTGATTCAATATGAATGCAAATTTGTCCCCACTCCCACTGTCTGTTTATATTTGTGAGTATATATTACTTTTTCCTTTACACTGTGATAATTTTTATGTTTACCATGTTTGTGATATTAATTTTTTTTTTTTTTTTTTTTTTTTGAGACAGAGTCTCAGCCTGTAGCCCAGGCTGTAGTGCAGTGTTGTGATCTCAGCTCACTGCAACCTCTGCCTCCCAGGTACAGGAGATTCTCCTGCCTCGTCCACTCTAGTCCTGAGATTACAGATGTGTGCCACTATGCCTGGCTAATGTTTGTATTTTTAGTAGAGGTGGGGTTTTGCCATGTTTGCCAGGTTGGTCATGAACTCCTGGCCTCAAGTGATCCTCCCACCTCAGCCTCATCAAGTTTTGGGATTACAGGTGTGAGCCACTACACCCTGCCTAAAAGACATTTTTAAAGACAATGTAAACTCAACCTAAGCAGAGAGAAATTTAATTGTATCATCCAACAAATATTGAATGCTTGATGTGGATTCACCTAGCATTAAAAGATTATAATAGCAATACTTTATAGAAAATCATATACTTGAATAAAAGGCTGATATTTCCTGAAGAAAACTCTGGGATAATTTAGTTATCTAACATTTATAGGTACTTGCATAGAAAATTGATGTAGAAAGCAATTTGTCTTTGCATTGCATCATTAAATAATTTTCATGGAAGGCCAGCTTTAAATTTCAAGTTTAGTCTCAGTTAACCAGAAAAAAATACAACAAACATTGTATATGTGTGTGCACGCACATGTGACACACACACACACACACACAGACACATACACTAAGGCACAGGGGCAAAAATAAGAGAACTCACTGGCTCAAGAAAATAATGGCAAAAAATAATTTTTAAAATATAAATTATGTTTAGTTTAATTGCATGCAGCTCACCTAACAGGAAAGGGGATTATATTTTGATATTTGCAAATACTATTTTTCTAGCGAGAGAGAGGTTGCATAGTGGAAGTTGTAAGAATAACAGTTGGTTTCCTATTTCAGGATTTTAGCTGACTGGAATTTCAGAAAACTACTCCCTAAAAACACGGATAACAAAAACAAAACAAAACAAAACAAACTCTTTTTAAAATGTGGTGATAACATGGAAAAAGAAATAGAATCATTCAACAATCAGATAAGATAAGAAAGCATGAGTCTATTGATGTAAGAAAGCTTTAAAATCCACATTTGTTTTGGAGCGTCTGTAAATTGCTTGTGGTCTGGATCCTATATTTTAAGATTTTAAGAGTTTTAAAGAGTCTATAGGAGTTAGGAGATAAAATCTGGTGCCTGACCAGATCATAAAGCATTAAGGCAAAAATACACTAGCTATAAAGAAGGCCACTATACAGTAATTATAAAGGTTCAATTTACTAAGAAGATGTAGCAATTCTAAATATGCATGTACCTAGCTACATAGTTTAAAATATAAATTAAAAAATCGCAGACGTACAAAAATAATTTAACAAACATCACTGTAGAAGATTTAAACACATTATTGTCAACAATTGATAGATTAGCAGACACAATATCCTATCTCAATAAGATACTGAATATATCAAAATATACTTAAACTTTCCAGTGGACATATATAAAAACCTATACCAAAGGTATAGGTTTGATACTACTACTACTGTTAAGTTGTAGAACATACATTATTTTTAATAACAAATGAAACTTTAAAAATGGGCCATATACTAGGCATTAAAGAAGGTTTCGATAAATTTTACAAAAGAATCTATTAGTATACCCACATTCTCTGACATCTACATAAATTAGTAATTCAGTAATAAAAATATGTAAAATAAATACATTTGTATTTATTAAAACTATCTTTTAAATAACCTATGGGTAAAAAAGAAATCATAATTAGAAGACAATTGTAGCTAAATTACCACTAATATAAATTTTCAACATTTTTGAAATGTGATTCTAAAAGCATTGAGGGGGCAATTTATAGCCTTAACTTCTCATGGTTGAAAAGAAGAAAGGCTGAAAATCAACAAAATAAGCATCTATCTGAAATATTGTGTGTGTGTGTGTGTAAAGAAAAGAGAATAAGGACAAAGAAGATAAAAATAAATAATAAAAAACATAAAGTATCAAAATAATGCAGACTTAACAAAGCCAAGGATTATTTAATTTATAATTAAAATGAACAGGAAAAATAGAAATTAAAGAAAGAAGCCAAATAAATAATATTAAAACTGGTATTGCCGAAATTATAGCTGCAGAAGAGACTGAGATTTTTAGATAAAGATGATATGAAATATATATGTTAATAAATTGAAAAAAGTACAAAATAGACACATTTCTAGAAAAACATTAACTATACATAGCGACATCTGACATGATAGAAAACCTAAATTCTAGCACTAGCAATTATGTTTTCCCTACACAATAAACCCCAGGCTCAAAAAGTTTTATGGAAGAAATCCAAGAAACATCTAGGCAACAAAATTACAATGTTCTTCAGCCTTCAAAGACACAGGAAAATGTTGTCACCAAAAACCATAGAAAGTCAGGAGGGATAAAAATTTTCCTAAGAAATTATTAACAAATTGAACCAAGCAATGTTGTATATATATGTGAAACAAACATATGTATATATATTTATATAAGTATTATATATTTATATATAATATATACTATATATTAAATATATAATATAAATATATACAATAATATATATTATATAATAATTTATATAAGGCACATATACATATATATATAAAGGTACAGAAATGGATCCATAATATACCATGGAAAATAGAAGTATAAATAGGTGATATTTAGAGGTGAAAATGGATATAATTAACTTTCCTTAGTTTTTCAAATAATTTATTTCTCATGTGGAAAATTAAAATGGTTCTTCAACACTTAATAAATAATTACAATAGATAATTTCACATATATGGATGACATATATGAAAGACAAAAATCTAAAACTGTTAAAGGAAACTTAAGAAAAATATTTTTATGTCTCTATGATCAGTAAAGTTTCCTTAAATAAGCCACATTAAAAAACATGTGAGTATTTTATATATGTATAAAATATATAAGTATATACATATAAAATATAAATATAAAATGTAAATATATAAATATATATATAAAACATATATATATATGGGTTTTTTTTGGTTTTTTTGGTTTTTTTTTTTTGAGACAGAGTCTCGCTCTGTCGCCCAGGCTGGAGTGCAGTGGCGCATGTTTTCATTAAACACATGAGAAGTTGCCAAGTAGTCAGAAAAAAATGTAAATTTAAAAACATAAAATATCAAGTCTCAACAATCAAAATGACAAAAGTTTAATATCATATCAAATCTTATAGAAGATGGGGAGAAAGAGGAATTCTGAAATTGCTGGTAACTGAGAAAATGGCATAGCCAATTTGGAAAATAATTTGATTTTAACTAAGTAAATATAAATATATACTATACCCATGACACAGCACTTTTGTTCGTTCCTAAGGGTATGTCCTAAAATATTCCTCAAATTGTGCACCAAGAGAGATATGCCAGAATATGCATCTGGTCTTTGTTCATAATACAAATAAAAATTATTGCAACAGTAATCTCTCCAATAAAGAACAGGTAAATAGTGTGATCCAGTTATATAATGGAATACTTTACAGCATTATTTCCCTAAAGGTATATACATCAGTATGGATTAACCTAAAAACATAATAATGCAGAGAAATAGCCAAGTTGCAGAATTTGTGCTGTGTAAATCTATTTTATACAGCCCTAAAACTTGCAAAAGTCTATCAAAGTGCACACAGAAGATTTATAAGATAGTGGCAGGATTTTATTTCTGATTGTAGGTGGTGGTGACATAAATATTCATTTTATTGTAGTATTATTGATTTTTAAGCTCTACAAATATATCAGATACTCTATTGTGTGTCTGATATATTTGACATTTTAGAAAAGGTAAAACAAAATAATAGTAAACAAAGAGAATAGTGACAGAAGATGGATAGCAAGCCAGCTTGCTATGTATATAAAGCATTTTGTTTGAGAAGCAATAGGGTTAAATGTCATATTAAACTTCATCTATTTTATTGTATCTTTGAAAACTCTTATTAACTTCCTTTGTTCATGGTGGAACATATCTCACCGTGCAATGAATGGAAGAAAAATTGAGCAGAAAAATGGGAGAGTGCTTGAAGTTTTATAATATAGCAAATGCCAACAAATATTGACTGGAAGATAGCTCTTCCCTGGTTTGTATTTGCCTTTGATCTGAATATGAAGCTCCTGCCTACAGCTTTCCCACAATGTCATTACAGACTTCATGGAGCAGAAGACTCTAGCTCAGTTGCCCAAATGAATATGATGAAGTCATTGACACATTGAGATTCTCTCTGTCATATCACCATCAGTGCCATATGTCAAATTTCAAAATATGAATTGAGGAGAATCATGCGGTGTTGAAGGAGGTGTTAAGGAATAACTGTTGCTCTTCATGTATCAGATGAAATGACAACTTCTAGAAGTTTTCAGTGTGTGACACTGATAACAAGGCATATCCAATGGCTTAAGAAATTTTAAATCTAAATGTGTTTTAACAAAACAGATTTCACATTACAGTGTTTCTTACGTTATATTGTGATAAGGTTATTATTCTATTTAGAATCTTTGTGATATTTACTATAAGTATTCTAAACAAATGAAGTTCCTTATTTTTGCTTCCAAATTGTGTTTGTCATGTTTTCTTATAATAAATGCAATGCATTTATTTCTTATAAAAATGCAAAGGACACTATTTTCTTATAATAAATTCCTAAAAGCAATTTAGGAATTCAATAAGAAATCACTAATAACAATAATAATGTTTCATTTATTTAGTCTTTAATATTAAAAAGACTTTATATATTCACACTCAAAACTAAGAATGTACAGACAGTTCTAAAACCTGCTTTATAATTTTTTGACTTTCCATGAGAATTACTCATCCCATCAAAATTTATTTAACAACATGAATATATATTTTAATGGCTTATTCATTCATCCAATTTCATAGAATCCAGGTAGCCTCTTTCATCTGTAATGAATTTACTAATGTGGTCTAGTGACTTAGAAGCATCAGAAAACTAAGCTTGGATGCCACAGCGGCAAGATCATGAGAGCCAAATAGATACCTAACCACGAATCTGAACTTTCTAGTGGAAACCTCATAGGTACAATCCCCATCATGGCAACTATCATAACCTGGTGTTGCACTAATTTCTCTACCACAGCTGCCCCCAAAGAACCATACACTTCCTGCCCAGTGATTAACTGACTTCCCTTTGGCTCACTTGTTCCTTTATGTTCTTGTGTCATGAGAGTGTCTTCTGCTTCGCAGATTCCAAGGTAGACCCTATCCGCAAATGAGTCTGGCAAGTGCAGTTTTAAGTTTATCTGCCTCAATAGTGCACAAAAAGAAAAATACAAGAAGAGGTGTTAGAGTGGGTGGTCCAATATACAGTATCTGTCACAATTACAGAGTGTGTTTAAATCATAATGATTTAATAAACATATATAATGTTTTACTATTATAAGTACTTTTAGCAGCAATATATACTTCTTTAATTATCTCTATATTGCTATAGATCCCAAAGTAAAATTTTTCATTCAAAGGACAGTTTTTAAAAGTTCTTGGTATATTGGCTTTCCATTTTGTCTTCTTTCTCTTCCTTCCTTCCTTCCCTCCTTCCTTGCTTTCTCTCCTTTCTTTCTTTATATAGAAACAACTTATAGCTACACCAAAATTATAAAATAATTTTAATTCCTTACTTGAACCAATAGTGGCTATTATTTTTAATAAAATTTTGACAATTTGACAGAAGAAAAATATTACTTTATTTTAATTAACATTTGTTTTGGTTATAAGTTCCATGGATACAAATCTTTCTAAAATACATTGCATACTTTTCTATTATTTAAAGAGTTTGCATAAAATAAAAATTGTGATGATGAGTTACCATCATTAACATAACTGTTAATTAGTACAATCTGCAACAAAGTAGTATTGAAGCTATTTTAGTAGAGAAAGACATTATTTGCTCCAGACAGCTATGCTTTGTGAATTCTTATATCTACTGTAAAAATTTCTCTGTCCTTGCTCTAAAATTGGAAACATGCCTTCCTTTAGCCAGGTGTCTTTTTTTCCCACACATTCTCCACTTTTATTAGCATTTTCTAATCCATTCTGGGGCTTTCCCTTAGTGTCAAGTTCATGAACTTTAGAGTACAGACATTTGTGATTAGAGGGACTAAATTGATCTCATTTCCTAGGTCTTGTCTCTGATTATGATAATTGAAAAATTTTGAAAATCCCAACCTCCTGATGATAGACATATTACCAAAATTTATGGCATAAAGTCTAACAACAGAATAACAATTCTAGCACTGTACTCAAGTAAATTAATTTGAGGAGAGATATAATAAAATGCTGTTAATGTAACAGAAATTTTTAACAGATTAATTTCCACTCTTAGTAGTTTTACCCTCTTTTTGAACATAGTAGAGAAAACCATTGCGTGTATGCCGTTAGAACTAACAATACTGAAGGTGGAAGGCTGGTTTTATAGTAAGAAATCATATAGCTTGGAAAGCAATGAAGGAAGTTGTTATCAACTATAAAGTGCTCTTAGAGCTTACTGTTGGCAAAATGTATGATATATGCAAACACAATTAAATTAAATATGGAGTACCACCCTTGGGAAGGCCTCATAAATAGCAGCAGATATTCAAAATTGCAGGCGTCTGTATAGAAATTGTCTAAAATTGAGCCTATGAGAACTAAGCTCAGCAGGACATAAAACTTTCCACATCATATGTTATACATGTGGATAACAAACTATCAAAAACTTCATTTCTAAATGTCAAGGGTGGTAAAATACTTGTCTTAGCACTTTATTATATTCAGTTTTAGAGAATTCTTAAGAAAACTTCCAAGCTCCAAAAAATGCAGTTAATCAATAATGTGTTTTTATCCTTATGGCCAATATAAAAACTGTTATCCTAGCTCATTTTCCTTGAAGTAATTCATTTGTACATATGCATACTTCAGCATGTGGCCAAAGTCCCTTTTGCTAAACTTGCCAACAAAAGTTTTCTTTCACCCCAAGAAATGTCAGATCAAATTACTGATCTGACTTGGTTTGGATATTATTCTCTCAAGGTTTATGATGCAGAATGGGATTGTTGAAGTCAAAATAGAAATGTGGAGATGGATCTCTAAATTCAATGTTTTCTTTGAGAATAAAGAATCACAATTTGGAGCATACACACGGGTCAGGTGTTCTTCGGTATGTCTGAAGAACAAAGAGAAGGTTGGTGATTTTATAAAAATGAGAAATGTTATGTATTGCTCTTAGAGAAAGTGCATTGGGACTAGTAAGTTTCTGGGGAGCTGGCAAACTCTGTTTGGTGAGCAACAGCGGTGGGGAAAATTAGCCCTGGAGTTGCAAGTTGTCTCAGCAGTTATAAATAAAACTGTCTCGGGTTAGAATAGGCAGTTTCAACAGCCAGACTTGCAGAAAATTACGTTTCTAGAGCGATGCTACATGTCCTGATTTTTTTTCCCCTGGCTAGTCAACTTTCTTTTAATTGGGTGTGACAAGAATGATCCAAATCATATGATCAAATTTCATAGGCCAGTTCATTACATGAAATATTATTTTTAAAAACAGTTGACATAGGTAGACATCCATCCCTTGTCACTTCTTTATTGTGAAACAATGAAAACGAAATGGGAAAGGTTCCCTTGTCCTCCTCGCAGGGCATGCGTTGGGGGTGTGGATCGCTTCTTCAGTGCCCCGCTGCTCAAACCTCTAGGGGAGCATGCAAATGGGCAGGATGTGGGGCTCTGACCCCAGTGTCTAGGGATGAAGGCCCAGTAGGCATGTGTTACAGGGCATGTGTTTTAGTTTGCCATCTATAGGCGATTTGTGTTAACCAGCTTAATTAGACCCCCTTCCTTATCACAAGGACAGAGGGATTTCTGTATCCCGGGGTTTCTTGCCTTGGTGTACTGGAAGAATCGGATCACACGTGGGCTTGGAGAACAACTGCAAAGTTTTATTGAGTGGAAGTAGCTCTCAGCCAATGGGGGAGCCAGAAGGGAGATGGTTTTCCCTTGGAGTGGGCCATTCGGAGTTTTGGGGGGCCACGGCTCTCCTCCAACTTCCCCGGACCAAACTCCGCCTCCTTCCACCAGTGGGTGGCCTGCACGCGTGCCAGTGTCTGTCGGTGTGCTCTTCCGCTGGTGTGCTCCCTCGACATCCTTTTGGAGTCTAGGAGCCGCTTATGTCTTCTGCCAATGTGTTCCTCACCACATCCACCTGTATTTGTATCTGCCTGCTAGGGTCTTGGCTTTTTATAGGCCCAGGATGGGGGCATGGCAGGCCAGGGTGGTCTTGGAAAATGCAACATTTGGGCACAAAAGCAGGAGCGCCAGTCTTCACCTATGGAGCCCTAGCCAGGGACCACGCCCTTCTCCACTCAGCACTTCCCTTTCCCCCTTCCATGTCATTTAAAGGGACCACGCTCTTCCCTTCCCAGTACTCCCGTATCAAAAAGAACATAGGTTCATTTGGAACTTCCTGTTCTATATGAAACATTCCTCTGTAATGACTTTGGCTCTATGGCTCTAAGGAAGGTGTTATCAGGTGGGTTTGTAGCAGAGAAATTTCTGAGAAAGCAAGATGTGATGTATGGAAAAAGTAGGAAATATTTGCTTTATGCTTTCTGTTATTTTTTTCAGAATCATCTTCTTTCATAACTCTCAGCCACAGTCCCTACTCATTCCACCCTTGGATATTCACCTTTCATAGTAGAACCTCAGTCCAAACACTCTTCATGACAAGGAATAAGAAAATAAGGCAATGAAAAATACTTCTAAATTTCCAGTTACCTGTATAAACTCAAATATATAAACTTTCTCTGCCAGCCAGTGATACGAAGTACTTTTTCCTGCTATGTCTAACAACTTTCCTGCTTCACACATAAGTGAAAAATAGTTATATCCTAGATGATGAAACAGAAAGGTAAATATTAGCACAGTCTTCTGAAGTTCCAGAAATATAAGCCTATATTACTTCACTTAAGTAGGAAAATTGCTTCAACATCCCGTACCTTGTAAATGTGGCACATCTATTTCATGCTAACATCTGTCACAACTGGACAGCTAAGGACATATTTACATGGATATGTTCTTTAATAAGTAATTAAATGCTTATAATTTTTGTTTCAAAAATTAATCCATACAGTTTGCTTTTTTTAATGCAGCTTAAGTACACATAACTGTCTTGTGGCAAAGAATTTTATTTAGTAGTCAAAGTACTCTGCAAACAAAGACTTATTAAGAATCTCTCTGTTGGAAGAGTGTAATTTTAAACAGTGACATTGATTCTGCAGCTTTTATCTTTTGACCTTGTTGAGTGTCTTAGTAAGAATCATGATTAAGAATTTCCTCTGAGCCTCCTCATTAAGAATAATTAGAAAAAATAACAAATTAGCTTTCAGAAACAAGATGGAAATAAAAGCTGCTTTTCATAAAGTGTTTGATGAATAATTTTGTTTTCCACATGGACACAAATATTATCCTTTTCCTTTCTCCTTTATATTTCAATTACAAAACACAGAGACAAGTTGGATAATGTTGAAAAACAAGCTAATAACAGAAAAGTTCTTTTGGAAAGATTTTGGAATAACAGATCTTATTTCACCATGTAAAGAGCTTTTAGAAGCTGTATACTGTCTACTGTATGTATCAAAAAAGAGTTGTTTATTTTTAGTTTATTTATAAACATTCCTCAGATAATTTTTAAAAAGAAAGTATAGTTCCATTATCACTATGTAATTTAAACAATCGGTGGTTATATACTGAAATATATTAAGTCATGATTTTAGTATGTTAAATGCACATCAAAAATGTTAATATATTTTTATAGATTGAATTTGTATCCTCAAACTATACTGAAGCCATTTATCAGTTTCAGGAGCTTTTTGGTGATGTCATCGAGGTTTCCTGGTTATAGAAGAGATAGTTTGACTTCTTTAGTTTCGTGTTTGGGTACATTTTCTTTCTTTCTCTTGCCTGAATGCTGTAGTTAGGACTTCTAGTACTATGTCAAATAGAAGTGGTGAGAATGGAGAATGGTATCCTTGTCTTGTTCCAGTGCTTAAGGGGAATGGTTCCAGCTTTTGCGACATTTAGTTTAATGTTAGCTGTATTGTGTCATATATGGCTCCTATTATTTTGAGATATGTTCCCTTGATACAGAGTTTGTTGAGGATTTTTATCATGAAGAGATGTTGGATTTTATTGAAAGCTTTTTCTGCATCTACTGGGATTATCGTATAGTTTTTGGTTTTAATTTTGTTTATGTGATGAATCACATTTATTGAATTGCATATATTGAACCAATCTTGCATCCTAGGAATGAAGCCTACTTGATAATGGTAGATTAAGTTTTTTATGTGCAGCTTTATTTGGTTTGAAAGTATTTTGTTGAAGATTTTTGCATCTATGTTCATCAGGAATATTGACCTATAGTTTTCTTTGTTCCTTGTGTCTTTAACAGGTTTTGGTATCAGGGTAATGCTGGCATTGTAGAATGAGTTAGGGAGGAGTCTCTCCTCCTTGATATTTTGGAATAGTTTTAGTAGATTTGGTACCAGCTCTTCTTTGTACATCTGGTAGAATTCGGCTGTGAGTTCATCTGGTGTGGGGCTTTTGTTCGTTGGTAGGTTTCTTATTACTGAGTCAATATGGAACTCAATGTTGGTCTGTTCAGGGTTTTAATTTCTTCCTGATTAAATTTTGGGAGATTGTGTGTTTCCAGGAATATATCCATTTCCTGTATATTTTCTAGTTTGTGTGAACACAGGTGTTGATAATAGTCTCTGAGGATTTTTTTGTGTTTCTGTTGGACCAGTTGTAATGTCATCTTTGTCATTTATGTTGTGCTTATCTGGATCTTCTCTGTTTTGTTCTTTGTTTATATAGTCATATAGTCAGTGGTCTATAGATCTTATTCGTCCTTTCAAACAACCAACTTTTGGTTTTGCTGATGCTTTTATGGATTTTTATGCCTCAATTTTATTTAGTCCTGCCCTGATTTTAGTTATTTATTTTCTTCAGGTAGCTTTTGAGTTAGTTTGTTCTTGTTTTTCTAGTTACTCTAGATGTGGTGTTAGATCGTTAATCAGAGATTTTTCTAACTTTTTAAGGTAGGCATTTAGCACCATACACTTTCCTCTTAACATATCTCTTCCCACATCCCAGAGATGTTGGTATTTTGCGTGTCTTTCTTCATTTATTTAAAAGAATTTTTTAAAATTTCTGCCTTACAATCCAAAACTCATTCAGGAGCAAAGTTGCTTAATTTCTATATATTTGTGTGTTTTTGAGAGATATTCTTGTTATAGGTTTCTATTTTAATTCCACTGTGGTTGGTATGTGATTGGTATAACTTTGATTTCTTTGAGACTTGTTTTATGGAAAGACCTTCTTTTGGATTTTTTCCAACTTGCTTTATGGCTAACCATGTGGTTGATCTTAGAGTATATTCTGTGTGCAGATGAGAGGAATGTATATTCTGTGGTTGATATATGGAGTGTCCTGTAAACATCAATTATGCTCAATTTGTCAAGTGTCAAATTTAATTCCAGAATTTCTGCGGAAGTTTTCTGACTCAATGATTTGTCTAATGTTGTCAGTGGGGTGTTGAAGACCCCCACTATCATTGTGTGCTATGTCAGTCTTTTTGTAGGTTTAGAAGTCCTTGTTTCATGAATTTGGATGCTCTAATATTGCATATGTATATAGTTAGCATAACTAAGTCTTGTCTTTGAATTGAACCCTTTATCATTATGTAATGCCCTTCTTTGTTCTTTTTTATTGTTGTTGGTTTAAAAGCTGTTTTATTTGATATAACAATAGTGACCCTTGTTCCATTTGGTATTCTGTTTGCATGATAGATCTTTCTCCAGCCCTTTACTTTGAGCCTATGGGGATCATTACATGTGAGAAGCGTCTCTTGAAGATACCAGATGAATGGGTGTTACTTTATCCAACCCATCACTCTGTGCCTTTTAAGTAGGGCTTTTAGATAGTACGTCTAACCAAGAAGCTGAAAGACCTCTGTAAGGAGAACTGCACACTGCTGAAAGAAATCATAGATAACATAAACAAATGGAAAAAGCATTTCATACTCATTGACTGGAAGAATCAATATTGTTAAAATTGCCATAATCTCTAAAGCAATCAAGAGATTCAATGCTATTGCTACTGAACTTTCAATGCCATTTTACACAGAATTAGAAAAAATTCTGAAATTCATATGGAACCAAAAAGAACCCAAATAGACAAAGCAATCTGTAGTAGTTCATTGTTGCATCATTATAAAGAACTACCTGAGACTGGGTAATTTATAAAGAAAAGAGGTTTAATTGGCCCTTGGTTCCACAGGCTGTACAGGAAGCATGGCTGGGGACATGGCCAAAGTAGGAGGAAGAGAATGAAGGGGAAGGTACTACATACTTCAAAACAACCAGATCTTGTGTGAATTCACTCACTATCACAAGAACAGCAAGGGCAAATCCTACACCCATGATCCAGTTTTATCCCACCAGCCCCTCCTCCAACATTGGAGGTTAGAATTTGACATGAGATTTGGATGGGGACACAAGTTCAAACCAAAGCACAATCCTAAGCAAAAACAACATAGCTTTTTTTCAAACTATACTCTAAGGCTATAGTACTGGTAACAAAACATGTTATTGGTACAAAATAGACACATAGACCAATGAAACAGAAAAGAGAATCCAAAAAGAAAGCCACATACCTACAATCATCTGATTTTTGACAAAATTGACAAAAATAAGGAATGGGGAAAGTACCCCCTATTCAACAAATGGTGCTGAGTTAACTGGCTAGCCACATACAGAATTAAACTGGACCCTTACTTTCACTATCTACAAAAATTAACTCAACATGCATTAAAAGTTTAAGTGTAAGACCTCAAGCTGTAAGAATCTTAAAAGGAAGCCTAGGAAACACTATCCTTGATGTTTGCATTTACAAAGAATTTATGGCAAGTCCTCAAAAGCAATTGCAACAAAACCAAAAATTGACAAGTGGGACCTACATAAACTAAAGAGCTTCTGCCCGACAGAAAAGACTATTAACAGAGTAAAAATACAACCTACACAATGGTAGAAAGTATTTTCAAACTATGCACCCGCAAAGGTCTAATCTCCAGAATCTATAAGAAACTTAAATAATTTAACAAACATAAACCAAATAACCACATTGAAAAATTGGCAAAAGACATGAACAGACTTCTCTCAAAAACAGACATACAAGCAGACAACAAACATGAAAAAATGCTCAACATCACTAATCATCAGAGAAACGCAAATCAAAACCACAATGAGATACTACCTCACACCAGTCAAAATGCTATTATTAAGAAGTCAAAAAACAAAAGATGCTGGTAATGCTGCACAGAGAAGGGAATGCTTGTATACTCTTGGTGGGAATGTAAATTAGTTCAGCCAATGTGGAAATTTGGAGATTCTCAAAAACCTTATGGTTTTTGGTTTTAATTTTGTCCATGTGATAAATCACAATTATTGAATTGCATACATTGAACCAATCTTGCATCCTAGGAATGAAGCCTACTTGATAATGGTAGATTAAGTTTTTTATGTGCAGCTTTATTTGCCTTGGAAGTATTTTGTTGAAGATTTTTGCATCTATGTTCATCAGGAATATTGACCTATAGTTTTCTTTGTTCCTTGTGTCTTCGACAGGTTTTGGTATCAGGGTGATGCTGGTATTGTAGAATGAGTTAGGGAGCAGACTCTCCTCCTTGATATTTTAGAGTAGTTTCAGACTTGATACCAGCTCTTCTATTAGACTCACAATCCTATTACTGGTTATATATCTAAAAGAAAACAAATTGCGGCCGGTCGCGTTGGCTCAGGCCTGTAATCCCAGCATTTTGGGAGGCCGAGGCGGGCGGATCACAAGGTCAGGAGATCGCGACCATCCTGGCTAACACGGTGAAACCCCGTCTCTACTGAAAATACAAAAAAATTAGCTGGGCATGGTAGCGGGCGCCTGTAGTCCCAGCTACTCGGGAGGCTGAGGCAGAAGACTGGCGTGAACCTGGGAGGCGGAGCTTGCAGTGAGCTGAGATCGCACCACTGCACTCCAGCCTGGGCGAG